>NC_000004.12:118769865-118921381 GCF_000001405.40 Homo sapiens | reverse complement strand
TGAAGGCAAGATCCAGACTAAAGATATGATGGTATCATGAATATAATGATGGTAGTAGTACTTATGAGAATGAAACAATCTCTAAGGGATAGCATGTAGAGTGAGAAGACAGTGGACTGACCATGAAATCCTACAGAATACCAACATTTAAGGACTAGGTAAAGAACTCAGGTTGGGCCAGGTGTGGTGGCTCACACCTGTGATATCAGCACTTTGGGAGCCCAAGGTGGGAGGATCTGTTGAGGCCAGGAGTTCAAGACCAGCCTGGACAACACAGCGAGACTCTGTCTCTACAAAATAAAAGTAAAAAATAGCCATGCGTGTTGATGCGCGCTTGTAGTCCCAGCTACTAGGGAAGCTGAGGAGGGAGGATCACTTGATTCCAGATCCCAGGAGTCTGACATCATAGTGAGCTATGATGGCACCACTGCACTCAAGCATAGGTGACAGAGCTAGACCCTCTCTCTAACAAGAAAAAAAAAAAGGAAAAAAGAAAAGAAATCAGGTGGATCTTAATAACAATCTTCCCCAGCCAGACATCATTCTTGATTTGGCCAGTTTGCCCACCTACTGCCTGGTTATTATATGATTGGTGTCCAAAAAAAAATGGTTTCATATGTGTACTGTGAAAATATTTATTTGTTTTAAGATTTATTTTAACCTCAGCAAAATTGTTCCAATATGCAATTTTAATAAATCTGGGGTATGGAATACATATTTCTTACATTACACTCAAACTACAAAGAGTTCTTTTGATGGTTAAATTACTTTACAGTTTAGAGAAAGACAGAAAATTATTGCCTTTCCTCTGTTCCATGGTGGATTATTTTGTTCTTAGAGTTCTGTCCAAGACAGAACAAGTATCTGGTGCTGTGCCTACTGTGGGTGCCAAGTGTTCTTGTATTTACTCTAATACGTGCACAGTCGAATCACTTAGATAAAAGTTGTTTTTTATGACATGGGTGATCTCACTCACTCCAATGACTTCAACCACCAGCTGCACACAGATGAATTCTAGTCCTTCCCTTTTCCTGAGCTCTGAGTTCTTATATAAAATTGCTTACTAGGCACCCTGGCTGTCCTTCAGCAAACTCACTCTAAAAATACATAAAAGTAAACTCCTTATCTTTCCTTACATACTTATTCCTTCTCCTATAGTCGCTGTTTTCACAAATTACTCTAAATTCCGCTCAAATATCCAAGTCATCCCAGATTCCTCTTTCTCCTTCATTGCCTCCCACAACTCTTCAACCACCTTATCCTACAGGATCCAATTATTTTGCATCAATGGTATCTATCTCCTCTTCTCTACCACTAATTTCTGCCACCTATACTAAAATGATAATTTTATAACTGCTCTCCCAGCCTTCAGTCTCTCATCCGTCCAATAATTTCTCCACCAGTTATCATATTATTCCCATTATTTAAATATCTGTGGTGGATTCCCATTGCCATTATCAAACTCCAGCTTCTTAGCAGGGATCACAAGTCCCTGAATGAGGAGGCTCCTGCCTAACTCTCCACTACATCTTGTTTGCTGCATAGTGAGCCTCTGGTTGTAGCCAACTCCTGTACTCAGTCTCTTTAACAGATCGTGCTGGTTTATGCCTTAAGGCTGTTGCCTCGAACACTTTCTGTGATTCTCTCCTCCATCCTGAAAGACACCTTCTCATATTTCGAGCTATATATTCCACCTTCTAGAAAACTTTCCGATCTCTCTCCATCCTCTTTTGTGCCTCCACTGTCCCCTATACCATCTTCTACAATAACACTTGCAAAATCATATTACACTAATTGGGTCACATATTTGACTGCCTCTATAATATGTAAGCTTTTTGAAGAGAAGAACTTTATAATATTCATCCTGGCATCCCTAGAGCCCAGTTTGATTTATGGTATGCCCTTAACTGATGTTTACTGACATCAAAACAGCTTTAAAAGTTGATACCTAGATGAATAAACTTTTATTTTTTCAGTCAATTACTTCGGTATGCAAAAAGTAGCCAAATTATGAGAGGGGAGTATGGCTAAGTACAGTGACTACAAAGAGGTTTCAGCTCAAAGTCCAATTCTCATCAATTCCAAATGACTGACAAGGAAACAAGCTTGAGAGACAGGGAGGCTCAATCCAGGCTCAGAAGAATGAGTGCAATGATCGACTAGCGCTTCCTGTCATATTAATGCCTAATATTTGCTCTCCCTCATATTATGTAAGTATTCAATAAGCAAGCCTTTTTGATTAAATATTCAATGAGTATTTTTGAATACTTGTGCACATGACTGAATCAGTGTCTGTATTCAAAGCATATATTCATTAGGAACACCATGCTAAAAATGGCAAAACATTTCTGCTGGTGCTGCCATAGAATTTTTAAAATGTATATTTAGTTTCATAATAGTCCTAATTTTAGCATATTCTGTCTGGTTGGTACAATTAATAATATTTTTAAAAACATTTTAAAACTTTTTAATCTGTATTTTGATGGACTTGGAAATCTAAAATAGTCATTGCATTACCTTCAAAATACTTGATGAAGAATTAAATTATTGCTACCTAATATAACTGTGTATGTCATGTCTTCTGGCAAACTAGCAATATTGAGTTTGAAAGGCAAATGAAAATCTTATCCCGATGTTTGGACTAAGTTGTTTTTAAGGAACAACTTACTTTATCTGCAAAGCAGATTTAAGTAAACGCAATCTGTAAAATTTTCTTTTAGAAACTACTCTCTTGTTCCACATCATCAAATTAGAATGTTTCATTATAATTTTATCTGAACTCTATATGCTCTAGTGCTGCTCTGCAAATGAGTCAGAGGAGAACTATTCCCAGTTTGCAGCCAATTCTCCAGAGAAGCAAAGGAAAAAAGAAACAACTGCCTTTTAAGGAAATCAAACCTGTTTCTAGTGATAAACCCCTTTCCATTTCTATTTGAACATAGTCTCAACAACCAACGAACAGAATACTATGAAATAATGTGTAAAATACATTACCTATTGGATGAACCACTTAGCCAAACACATCTGTAGGTTTGTTTAATGTTTTTCATATACCATAATCTATTACATATAAACAAATTATATAAATATACACACCTGGGTACATGTGAAATGATAAAATAACTTTTTTCAGCAAACATTAAGACATCTGGTTTCAGTTTGGAATTATATGTTGGCAAACATTGTTTAAAAAATGGATTTTTTAAAGTTTAAAAAAAGAACTTTCAGTTTCTAGAAAGTTTTTATAATGTGGAATTTGTATGGCAAAGAATTTGTATAAAAAGCTGAATGGGAAGGATTGCTAAAGGTAAGCTCATGCAGCAGGCACTCTTCACCTACTTTCTCTTCTACCTAACTCAACAATTTGATGGGAAAACTGCCAATTCAGTTTGTACTTCTAACTTTTTTGTTCTTTGAATTTAGAAAGTGACAGAATGTAAAAATTTAGTATATAGGGCCTGCTACTATATATTTAGCTATTTTTCCAATATTTTGCAATCATGTTATTCTCCTTACATTATACCAAAGTATTTCTATCACAAATCTTTTTTATCAGTGTCTCAGAATGGACTAGAGAAATGACTCATGGCATAATAAAAAATCTCTTTTCAAAAGCATAAATGATGATGCCTATTTAGTAACACAAAATCGTTCTTACAGATTGAAATATTGTATTAGCATTGCTGCCTGGAAGTCACATATAATAAGGGACAAACATTCATATATGCACATGTATTTACATAGCATGAAACCACGTTTTGGTTTTGACCAAATTGTTTCTATTTCTAACAGCAAAGCTACAGAAGAAGAATTCAAAAATTAAAAAGCTGGATTTTCATCTATTGAATCACAAAACTCTGACACTATTATTCATTGAAGAGATTACCATGGTTGAATTCTCTGAATTTAAGGTGAGTTTCTTTTGTTTGTTTCTTTTTTGTTGTTTGTTTCTTTGTTTTTTTTGTTTGTTGGTTGGTTTGTTTTCTGTTCGAGATGGAGTTTCACTCTTATTACCCAGGCTAGAGTCCAATGGTGCGATCTTGGCTCACTGCAAACTCTGCCTCCTGGGTTCAAGCGATTCTCCTGTCAGCCTCCCAAGTAGCTGGGATTACAGGCACTCGCCACCACACCCAGCTATTTTTTTGTATTTTTAGTAGAGACGGGGTTTCATCATGTTGGCCAGGCTGGTCTCAAACTCCTGACGTCAGGCGATCCACCCGCCTTGGCCTCCCAAAGTGCTGGAATTTCAGGTGTGAGCCACTGTGCCTGGCCTGTTTCTTTGTGTTTTAATCAAATGACTTTACATCTCCAAGATGATTAAAACAAATTTTTTGAAAACAGCAGAAGGGCGGGGCACGGTGGCTCAGGCCTGTAATCCCAACACTTTGAGAGGCTGAGGCAAGAGGATTACTTGTGGCAAGGGGCTGGAGACCAGCCTGGACAACAGAGCAAGACTCTGTCTCTACTAAAAATAAAAAAAGATTAGCCAGGCATGGTGACGCATCTTTGTAGCCCTTGCTACTTAAGAGGCTGAAGTTGAAGGATTACTTGAACCAAGGAGTTCAAGGCTGCAGTGAGCTATGACTGCATCACTGCACTCCAGCCCGGGGGACAGAGTAAGACCCTGTTTCTAGAAAAAAAAAAAAAAAAAAGAAAGAAAAATAAAAGAGGAAGAGGAAGAAGAAAAAGAAAGCAGAAATGCTCTGAAACTTCAAAAACAGCATTATATCTAAGAATAAAAAGTTTATTATAAAAATATATGGTAAAACATTTTAAGAAAACATTTTAAAATAATAATTTTAAAACTCAAGATCTAATAGTAAGTAATAGGTTTATATTTCTTAGACTTGGAGTAGCAAAAGATTTCTCTAACAAAACCTGAAACCATTAACTATAAAAGAAAAAAATAGGCCAGGCTCTGTGACTCACCCCTGTAGTCCCAGCATTTTGGGAGGCTGAGGGGGGTGGATCACTTGAGCCCAGGAGGTCGAGACCAGCCTGGCCAACATGGTGAAACCCCATTTCTACAAAAAATACAAAAATCAGCTGGGTGTGGTGGTGCGTGCCTTTATTCCCAGCTACTCAGGAGACTGAGGTGAGAGGATCACTTGAGCCCAGCAGGTTGAGGCTGCAGTGAGCTAAGATTGTACCACTGCACTCCAGCCTGGATGACAGAGCAAGATTCTGTCTCAGAAAAAAAAAAAAACCCAAAAAACCCTAAGTTTGACATATTAAAATTGTTATTCATCAAAAGAAACCTTAAATAACATGAAAATATGGGTTATAATATAGAAAGGTCATTCACCATATATACAATGAACAAAGCGTAATATGAAAATTATATAAAGTACTTGTACTAATCAATAACACAAACAATTTAATGTAAAAATGTTCTAAAGAACACACAGCCAATAAATGTATGAAGAGATATTTAATTTACGTGGTAGTCATGAAAATAGAAATCAAGACCACAATTAGGTACCATTTTATATCTAGCAAAATGGCAAAAATAAAAATAAAAAAATAAAAAGTCTAATAAAATGAAGCATTAAGAAGTTGTAGAGCCGCAGGATGCCTTTTATATTGTTGGTGGAAATGTAAAATCATGCATCAACTTGAACAAGAGTTTGGCATTTTCTCCTAAGCATGATCATTTACAAACCTATGACCCAGCAATTCCATTCCTGGGTATACAACTAAAAGAAGTCTTTGCCCATGTACAAGAGGAAACATGTTCTAGTAACACGTGTTCACAATAGCAAAAACCTGGAGCAACCCAGATGCCCATCAACAAGAGAATGGTGAGTGAACTGCGGGATACTCACACAATGAAATATTACACATTAGAAAAAATAAATTAACCAGAGTTACAGCCATATGGATAAATCCTAGTGGTAATATCTTAAGTGGAAAAACAAGTCCCGAAGATTACATACAGCATGGTACCCTTTTAAAAAAGCTAAAACCAACTAAAATAAAAATATCTACTTTCTAGGAATGTGTAAATATTCAATAAAACTATATAAAAAGAAAGGTAAGTAATGGAATAGAATTCAGAATGACAGTTACCTCAGGTGGGGAGAGGCAGGGTGATAATATTGGGGTTGAGGTCGTTAATGTCAGACATCAGGTATTATCTTAGTTTTTGTTTGGGGAGTTGGTATTACATATGTTTATGATATTATTAGAAATAATTTAAGAAGTGTGCTATGAACTAAGAATTATAATTTTTCAGCTCTCGTATTCCTGTTATCCAAAGTAAAATTTAAAAATAAATTTAAATAACTAAAAATTCATGATCTATGGCTCAAATGCTTTAGAAGGCTTTCAGACAGTGACCTTATTCATTGATTTTTCTGTTTTTTTTTTTGTAGAACTTTTTTGCATCTAGTATTTTTCATTATATAATAAATACTTCCAAATATCAAAATGAAGTATATAAAACATAAACATATTAAGCACAAACTTCAGTGAATTCTAATCCTTTCCAACTCCACTAGTTTTGCTACAAGAGTAACTACCCTGTCTTACTCAGTCTTTCTCCCTCTCCTACCAATATTCTAAGAAACACTTTCCTGGGCCATCTTTTCCCTCAAGTAGGTGCCATCTTCACTCTTCCTGTTTTCTCACCAATTACATTTTATTTGCTGTCTTTCCTTTACTGCCAAACTTTAAATATAATTATCTAGACTCTATGTCTCCACTTGCTGTCTTCTAATTCTCATTTCTCAGCCAACTATTATGTGGCTTCCATCCCTATCATTTTATTGAGAAATATCACAAAAAAACCCTCCCAGATATCAAATGTGTGGTCTTCTTACCAACCTCTTCATTGAACCCACAATATCTGTCACTAATAAATAATTCCTTGAAATACTCTCCTTTTTAAACTTACCAGAAATACTTATCCTCTTTCTATCTTTCTAATGACTTATTTTAACTTTTTTCCATTGACTCTTCTTTCTCTGTCCATACTTTAATTATTGGTCTTCTCCAATTTTCTGTACATACTCTGTTCTCTTGGCTTCTTGCTTCAGGTATTTCAGCTATTATCCCTAGATTTCCTCTAGCCCTGGCCATTCTCCTGAACCCAGACTGATACTCTTAATTCTGCATTAAAAATCTCCTTCTGTATGCTCTATAGATAACTTAAATTCAATTTATTTAAAATTAAATTTATTTTTTTCTATAATTGCTCATCGTCCTCTAATACAATCTCTCAATAAATCCAACATCCATCCCTTTGTCATCCAAGATGAAACAATCAAATTACTGTCCACTCCTCTCCTGACCCCACCATCCATATCCTATATCCTTCTAATTTGTCTATGTTTCTTCCTTTTCAGCCCTGGTGCTATGGGCGTGATCTAGAATCCTATTATTTCTCACATGGCGTATGGTAATCACCATTCTCCAAGCTCCACCCTTTGATCCATTTCCACATTGCCATCAGTCATCTACCCAAGTATGCATCAGATAATGTCATCTCCCTGTTTAGAAATCTTTAATAAGAATTTGGGAGAAATAATTTTTAATGAATAAGATGATGCATTTGAAAGGAAGAAGACAGAGACTTTTAAACCTGGTTCTTTGAGTTAATAAACTCAGAAGTTGTAAAAGTATCTTTTAACCCTTTCCATGATGGTGAGGTAGCAAGATCTTCATTATGGCTTTTCTCACAATGTTTTCCTGCGACCCTGACACAAAGACCTCACACAAACTATGGAAAATGAGTGTAGAGCTTGAATGTTATTACAGGAACACACCAATGAGTTTTTCTGCTGCACACACACACACACACACACACACACACACACAAACAATAAATGAAAGAAGGCTCAAGATGAGCATTTTGAATTCTAGCTATTTGAATTCTGTTTTATACATAATTCACTGACCTTTCTCACAATACTGTAACTGAAACTATAACACCAGAGCTGGAATGTTCTTGAAAAAGTTTAGTCTCTACAGACTTCTTGCCATTCATTGACATGCCATGATCTTGCAAGCCTTCTGTGTCATTGCTCCAGGTACTCCCTAGGTCTGGAAGTTCTCGGTCCAATTCAGACATCAGGGTCTAGTTTGAATGTTAACACTTCTCTTTATTGCTCCCTGATGATACTATGCAGAATTAATTTTTTCATGATTTGTATTTCATAATACATTATATTAATATATTCCTCTCTTTAAAGCCTTGTCATCTTGTATAATAGTTATAAATCTGCCTTTTCCATGAAAATTTCTTAAGAGCAAGGATAATGTCTTTTTCACCCTAGAACCTAGCATAGTACTGTTGCACAAAGCAAACAGTAAGTATATGCTTACTGAATTAAAATGAATATCAAAAGCTAATGCTAACAATTAGTTGGAATCCATAAACCTGGGAAGTATGGTTGATTTTGCCTTGAAATAACTCTTCTAATGGTCATAGACCCAACTTGGAAAATTACATGAAAAAATAATTCTTACAGTGAAGTTGAAGCTACAAACAAAAATAATAACCATGTGTTTAGCTAAACGTTTTTCTGTTAATTATGCCTGAGATTGTTTTATAACTGCTGAGTCTCAATGCTAATTATACTGAGCTTGCCCAACTAAAACCCTAAAGTCCTATTTTTTTCTGAACTACTATCTAGTTGGTACTACCTTAAAATATAATTATTTAAATTAAATGTGGATTTTGCATGTACTGTTCTAGCTAGGGCTTTCAGGTAGATAAGTTCCATTGGAAGGATAATTAGAGGGAAAAAATGGTTAGAATTTATAGAAAAGTCTTTATTTGAACAGCTGTCATAGAAACAAGGAGTAGACAGTCAAGTTTTTACTAAAGGTAGAACTTAAATCAATAAGAAATTATAAGAAGGAAGATTTACCTAAATTTTTAAACAATTTTTTCCTTTTGGCCAGGCACCATGGCTCATGCCTATAATCCCAGCAATTTAGGGGGCTGAAACAGGTGGATTACTTGAGTCCAGGAGTTTGAGACCAGCCTGGGCAACATGGTGAAACCCTGTGTCTACTAAAAGTACAAAAATTAGCTGGGTCTGGTGGCATGCACCTGTAGTCCCAGCTACTGGGGAGGCTGAAATGGGAAGCTCATTCGAGCCCAGGAAGTTGAGGTGCAGTGAGCCATAGTCACTCTACTGCACTCCGGCCTGGGCAACCAGAGTGAGATCCTGCCTCTGACAAACAAACAAATTTCTTTGTTTAATGATGATCAACAATTAATTCTTTAGATTTCATTGCATCTCGTGATCAGAACTAATTTTTTAAAGGCTAGTGGTTTATTTATCAGTGATGTTGTAAAAAGAAGTCCTCTACCTAGAAGCAGGTTATATCAAAAGAGATATCTCTTTCAAATTCTAAGATTTTATGAGCCCATTAATGCTTTCCATAATTTTCACTCATTGGCATTCTTTAATCAATCTTATTTTGCACCTAGACTTGATCCTGTCAATTGGCTTAACCTGTCATTCATCTCTGTGCCTTTAGGGAAATTTCTCTTTACTGTATAAGTCTATGTGTTCATTGTATTTAGCTCTATTGTGGGATTGGAGGGGGGGAGTTGCTGAATGAAAATGGGATTTGTAAACAAAATAATTTTTAGTTCATGTCTCATCTCAACTCCTAGAATTAATGATCTAAAGAGCTTCTAAATGTTGGTATCTCTTATTTCTTCCCATGATGGTGAGATGGCAAAACCTTCCCTATGATCTTTCATGCATAGTTTTCCTTTGACTCTTACACAGAGACTTCATGCAAACTACAGAGACTATAGAGTTTTTAATGCTATCATGGGAACTTGCCAAGAAACTTTTATGCATGCACAAAGAAAATAAAACAACAAAAGAAAGAACGAAAGGATCAGGCATCAGAGATGAACATTCTGGTATTTCCACTCCAGCTGCTTGAAAGGTGACTAGATTGAATAGAAAAACAAATGGTGAATCGGGGAAAGCAAAGATTGAATTAATCTCAGACGTACATCTGGAGTTTATAAGAGAGAAGCAGAGAAATTCCTTGTGACTGATCCATATTAATAGATAACCAAGGCAGTTCATGCAGTTATAATGCAGGCAATTCCCAATTATCCCTGATAATGGACCTAGGCATAGCATAAAATGATTTGATATCTCAACTCAAAGATGCATTAGCTTCAACATTTCCTCCTCGTACCAATTAGATTTTCTTAAACCAAAAATTTTTTATCTTTGCTTCATCCGAGGACTAAAGGACAGACAATAAATAGGAAAATCCAGGATAGATCTCTTAGATACTTATTAAAGATCTTTTATGTGTGAGAAATCATCAGATAAAAGAAATATAAAGTATATTTCCTGTCTGTAAGAGACTCGCCATTTTCTATGGGGAAAAGTACATACACTTGGGAAAAGTCAAAATAAATTAACACTATATCATTAAGCACCAACTGCACAGGCATTGACAGCACAAGGCATTGACAATTTTAGAAAATAAAGTACTCATGTTTTGTTGGGAGAGGAGTCATGAAAACAACTGGACTTTAAAGGATGATTCTCAAAAAAAAGTAAAAAAGAAAAGTAGTTGGGTACATAAATAAGAAACAAGAATTTGTTCTGGTGCTGTGTTCTTTTTAACCTAGCTCAGAATGAACTATTGGATTAGACTGCACACTCACACACACACACAAACACACACTCATCCACCCACATGCTAAAGTTTTAAACAATATAGCTTTTCTATGAAATGTGAAGGTAGTTGGTGAAAATTCTCTGAAGCCACTAGTCCCTAAAAGCACTCTTCTCTTTGTTTGGAAATCAGCACACTGATTTTCCCTGTCTATCTTATCAATTAGCAGAAATTTGCAATACTTAAGTGCACCATATTTCTCATAAACACACACACACACACATAATTAAACAAGTAACTTCTAAACATTTGGGCTCATAAAGATTAAGGGAATTTTGAAAGCTGTAAAAATGGAAATTCCCGGTGCAACGCACCTCCTTCAGATATGAGTATAGGCGTGTTATGCAAGGTCAAAAGAAAATTGAGAGGGAAAAACAATCACAGCACAGAAAGGAAAAACAAAGTTGACTGATCTCATTCTCCCTTCATTCTCCCCTGACATCTTTTTTACATAATGTCTCCTGTCACAAGGAGGCTACAAGTCAGGGTTTAGGAGAGGAGAAGCATCATGTCAAACTCTGCACCTGGAACAATCTTTAAGAGAAAACAACAGTGAGAAATAGCCACATGTGTTGCTGCAAAGACAGAAATCTGAGATTGAACACAACAACCCAGAAGGGACTGGTGAACCGTCAATACTTTAGCTACATGAATGATTTGGAGGTCATAGTAAAATAGACGTTGGAAATGGAAAACAAAAAATAATGGGGAAGGGGGTGGAATTATGCTCAGGTCATCTGTTTTCAACAAATGGAAGAGATCAGGAACGCATTGTGAATGATCAGTAAATGCCACTGTACAACTGCGGTGTCGTCTCATTTGTAATTATTTTAGTTTATAGATAACCTTTGGTATGTGGATACCAACTTCTGTCAAGAGTCAGAGATATGGACTCAGGCTGGGCCCTGGAAATCACACAGATATAAGTGTAATGGCAATGCTCCCAGGACACTAATAATTGCAAGTTTGCTGGCTCAAGAGCCCCGGCAGCAGATGCAGCATCTCCCTCTGCTCCTCCATGCACAGGAATAAGTTCACTGACATCTTCTGCTCCAGCCTTCCCAAGCGTGGGCAGGGCCCACAATTTATTCTGCATCTGCCACTATCAAAGCTGTCTATGTATGAGAAAAAAGAGTGGGAAAACACCCTTCCACAGTGCTGTGTCCCACATTAGCACCTGGACTCTGGCACAATTAGTGTCCTGAGTTTAATGGAAAACAGTTCCTAAGTTCCCACGTACTCTCTCTCCACTGGAGTGTTCCTGGGCAAGTCCAGGGAACAGGCATCTTCATATCTCACACATGCTCTCCCCTCTCCCACACCCCCAAACATATCAACTCCTGTAGGTCAATACCCCCAGGGACATCTTTTTAGCCTAGGCTTACTCAGGACCAGCCCTATTACCAAGACAAAACTCAATTAAGAGCCATGTAAATGGAATAGATGTCTACGTGTATGTCAGTTCTCATCCCCCGTATGTTTCACAACCCTGAAAAGAGCTTTATCCTCTATACTAGGCATCCCTCAGTGTGAATTTGCAATCACAGGTATTTTTTGTTAATGTCACAAGGATGTTCGAGGGTACATATGAGCCGTGTGTCCATATTTCATTGCAGAGTCACTCCCATGAATCTGGACTCCAGGTCAGGCTGCTGGGCATGTTGAGGGGTACATCTGCAGTGCCAGATAATTGAACAATGGATCAGAAGATGGCCATTCCTCTATGCCTTTATGTTACGGGGGCCCAATCTTTTAAAAAACACATTATTTAGTTCCTTTTTCTAACAACCAGATAGGTCAGGAATCTTTAAGCAATATTAAAACTAAATTCTGTAAACTATATTAAAAACAAAATAAAGGTTTTTATAGTACTTTTGTGAATTAGAACAAAAAATTAATTACAAGATCCAAATTTCAACGGCCTTCTCTTGAAACGGACCCTATAACCTTAGTAGGGCAGTGGTATGACGGCATTTATAACTCCTGTTCTATAAGGCTTTATCATGTGCACAACCTATTTTCACGTATCTCCCAAAAGAGAGATACCAGAATTTAATTATTTTTTAGGATAGATTTTTTTATTTGATTTATCCTGTCTTGATAATTCCATGAAAAGCTGCAAACCCAGACTTCCTAAGCTTTAATACCTTCCTGCCCATTGCTTTTAGAACATTGATCATACTTACGAATGTTTTTTATCCTGAAACGATCTGGAAATCTAATCGAACTAAAATGTGAGAATTTTCTTCTATCAAAAATTTTTTCAAGTCAATTTTTAAAGTACCAAATCACTATTAATATTTTAAAATGTTTAGAAATGGAAGTATGTTACCTAGATTATTTGACATTGACATATACTTATTTTATCAGCCAAAAGAAATCTGTATTGGCCAATATAATGAGTAACAAGTACATGATAAGAAAAGTTCTCTTTATGTGTAAAACAGCCTTCAAATTAATTCACATATTCTTAATTTTTACAAAAATATAAAATAAAAGAAAGGAAATAATTTTAAGAAAGCCATCATTTATCATATTCTCATACTAAGCAACTCCACATTTAGGAATTTATTCTAGAGGGATGATCAGAAAAGTGCGTAAATATCTTTTACATATACAAAAGTATTCATCTCAACACTATCTGTAATGGTTAAAAATTAGAAATAACCTACATGTTCAATAGGGAATTAGTTAAGTCAATAACGGTCAATCTATATAATGTATAATACTACACAGCCATTAAAAATTATGATGTAAATCAGTATTCATGGACATGGAAAGACGTCCATGATGTGTCATTTAATAAGAAAGCACATTAAGTACCATTCCTTTTCATGGAATGGAAGGTAAGAGTGATTGTGAGTTGATGTGTGTACAGAGGGGTCTGAAAACTTTCTCCCCAAAGTGTTAATAATGTGGTATTTCTGGCTGGTATAGTTTTTCCTTTATTTTTATCCTTTTCTGTAATGTTTGAATTACTTTTATAATGACAATGTGTCATTTTTATATTTCAAAAATTAAAGCCATTTTCAATTCTAGTTATTTTAGGGGTTTACAGTATAGACTGTAAAGAAGTCATTTGTAGGACACAGCCATGATTTGATTGAAACAGTGCATTTTAAGATGTGGCACTATACTAATCAAGTCCAAGTATACCAATGACTCCTTTTTCTCTTTGACATATTTACCCAAATGAGCGGTTTAAGGAATAGATGAACAATGTCAAACATATCCTCTCTTCTCCCATTTCCATCAAATTTGAATGCTTCATAGAAGTAGACAGCTAAGTCAGAGTATTGTAGCAGTTTTAATAATGGAAATGAATGGTTTTAACTCTACAAGATGGTCTGTATCAGTTGTTTCTTTGGGATTTCTAGTGGGGGAAGGCAAACAAAACATAAAAGCTATAAATCATATTGGATCCAAAGTTTGAGTAAAGAAGTTAGATTTATAAAAAGATCAATTGTGTTTAAATCCATGCACTGTTAATGACGTTTTTTAAAAAACATATTGATTACATTTTCGTATGGTGGGGAACTGCTTCATTATTTTAAAAAGTTATAAGGAAAAGAAAATAATTAAGCATTTATTTTTCAAAAGGGCCAGGCTCAGTGTCTCACACCTGTAATCCAGCACTTCGGAAGGCTGAGGTGGGAGAATAGCTTGAAACTAGGATTTCAAGACCAGCCTTGGCAACAAAGCGAGACCCTGTCTCTACAAAAAATAGAAAAAAAAAAAATTAGCTGGGTGTGGTGGCACACACCTGTGGTCCTAGCTACTTAGGAGGCTGAGGTGGGAGGAACACTTGGAGTTGGAGGCTGTAGTGAGCTATGATGGTGCCACTACAGTCCAGCCTGGGCAAACTGTTTCCTAAGAAAAATAAAAATAATAAAATAATTAAAAAGGAGCTGCATTGGAAAAGGCTGAATTCAATAGTAATTTGCTAAAATACCATTTTAGGCATAAAAAAAGATCTAGTAAGGTACACACTAAATTGGTAGCATTTTGAGAGCTCTTCTCTTTTTTAAACAAAGATACAAATTATAATTTGGAGAAATTCAAATAAAATCCCCAAACAATACTGTATAAATAATTATCCTTTCCAGAAAACACTTCCTTATTTTTCAAATTCACTGAGACAATATGACCACTCATGGGCATTTTCTTTCTCTCATTATTGTCTTGATTTAAAATAGCTCTAATCAAAAAGAACCTTAAAATCATCAACTCTAAATTTTTTGTTTTATAAATAGAGCAACTGAGAGCCAGGTAGTGTCAGTGATATAGTTAAGGTAATGGAGGTAAGAGAAATTAGACTCATACCTCGAATTCAGGTCTCCTGATTCTCAGTTCAATCAACAGTCTTTCCACTGAAGCTCTTGGATTTGCATCTTGTTACTACATACTATTACATTAAAAATCTGAACACACACATGTACAACATATATATATATCACTCTTCTAATTACTCTTTATATAAGTTGCTTATTTTTTTAAAAAAAAGCAAAACCTCAGCAAAATCAGGCTTTTCAATAGTTGCCACTCTTGAACTAACAATAAAAGATGTACAGTCATTCATTCATTTATTCAACAACCTTTCAACAGGTATATCAGCCTGCCTTAAGTATCTAGTTATACATGTTATGTGGCATATGTTAATCATTCATCTTGAAAGCATTATTTTGTAATATGCCAAGAACTATGAAAAGATGGGGTTCCTACTTTCAAAGAGCAGGGTGACAACATAAGTGCAAAAAAATGCAAATCATTTAACTAGAAATACCAGTGAGGAACAAGCCCCTATATCATAACATTAGCTATATCAAAACAATAATATCTAAGTATCAAATAGGAAAGGGTTCCAATGACTGCAGTCTCCCTTGCCACCGTGGCTCCAGGACACTGAGCCCATGTGAGAATTCGAGACTCGGGTGACAAATGAGGATGACACATTCAGGAGAACATGAGAGCAGCCTCACTAGACAAAACAAGCTTGTCTGATAAGGAAGTTGTGTGGCTGGCCAGGGAAAGGGAGGAGGATAAGTACAATGAAAGGAAGTAAAGGATCTTACAAACCTGAAAAGAGATTTTTCTATGAGAGATGTGCTGGACTGTTGAAACGCACTCCTGGAAAATCACACAATGTCTATAAGGGTGAAATAACTTTCCATACTATGTTTTTACAGTTCCATGAAAATCAATTAAGACAGATTTATGCCGGACTTCCTGTGTTCTCTCTCTCTCTCTCACAGACACACACACACACACACGCACACACACACATCAGGTACCACTTCTGTTTCTTCTGCAGGTAAGGCGATATTAGGTTCAATGTCTCAATTTGCTTAGGAAGCTACAGGGAGAAGAGACTTCAAAAATCTAGATAAAGAAAGAATGGCAATTAAGAGAATAGGAGCAGTGAATAGAGAGAAGAAGGAATTTTCCAGCTCAAATAAGAAAGAGAAACAGAGAGTCAGGGTAATTGGATATCATGAAGAACATAATGGAATAAATAACATGATGGGATCCTTAATTGAATTTGTGTCTACTCTCAGTCCTGTGTCCGCAGCTGAAGGGACCCACAGTAACCTAGTCAACATGGAGCTATCTGGTCATTGTAGCATGCGGGTAGGATGGAGTAATGAACTTCCTCTCCCTGACCACAGCTCTGCACTGAGATAAAATTGTTCTGATCAACATTTCCCCATCTGGCAGGCCAGCAGCCAAAATACTGGAGACCTGAAAATGGATCACTGCATTTTGACTCCCTACAGCAACCGATAAATGTAATATAATATTTACACAAGTCAATCTAATAGCAGTTATGCTGAGCACCATCCAATGGAAACTGCTATGTTTTTCATGAAAGAAAAAAATAAAGGTAACTTCTATGGTATTATCCGACTCTCACAGATTTTGTTTTTCATTTTAGCTTGATCTCGACTGATGAAAATAACTCACCACTGTTTGAAAAGCTAAAAACTCCAAGGAGTTGAATGTATTATCATTTACTTAGAAAAAGCAGCCTTATATAGTAATAAGGTCTTGTAATTTAGAAGACAAGCATGTGGGGGTGGAGGTGGGGGAGGGAACAAAATCCTCATTAGCCTTTGCCAAAGGCCCTGGCACAGAATTTTCCTGACTATTCAGAGATCAGTGTCCTATATTTACTTACCAAGGACAATTTATTTTCTTTTATATTTTCAAAGTGCTTGAAATGATTTCTTCTCTTCGTGATGATTTCCATATGCTGTTTCCAATTAAAGGGCAATAGGTTATTCAGCAAATGTGAGGCAGCATTCTAAAACTATTAAATGCCACTTCACAAGGTGGGACTCCAAGGACTACAGGAGCCCTTCCAATGACATCCGGGTCTCAAAAATCACTGAGTAGAAGACAGCAGATATGCCTTAATTTCATAAAAGTTAGTTAGATAAAATTAGAATAACCGCAAACATGCTAATAATAATTTTTAAACTCTTGAATGTTTTCTAAGTACTAAGTGATTTGAATGTATAATTTCTAACCTGAAAACACTCCTTGGAAATGAGCGTTATGACTATCCCCATGTTACAAATGAGGAAACTGAGGCACAAAGACTAATATATTGAAAGTCCATTTGCTCTAAATAGAGCTCAACAGAATTATATGCAATTAATTACAGCTTGAGGTATTTCCTTTTAAAAATCTGTACCATTGGCGGGGCACGGTGGCTCATGCCTGTAATCCTAGCACTTTGGGAGGCTGAGGTGGGCGGATCACGAGGTCAGGAGATCAAGACCATCTTGGCCAACATGGTGAAACCCCTTGTTGAAACTACTGAAAATACAAAAATTAGCTGGGCATGGTGGCATGTGCCTGTAAATCCCAGCGACTCGGGAGGCTGAGGCAGGAGAATCACTTGAACCAGGGAGTCAGAGGTTGCAGTGAGCCGAGATCACGCCACTGCACTCCAGCCTGGTGACAGAGTGAGATTCCGTCTAAAAAAAAAAAATTGTACCATTTTTAAGTGGGACAATCATTTGATTTTATTTGGCCAAATAAAATACATAATTTTAGGATCCCTTCTCTTAAACTGATTAAACTGAATAACAAAGTAATCTTGATTAGTAACTGATACTGCAAACATTTTCTGAAATGTCATATTTATCAAAAATGAAAACTTGCACTGGGTAAAAGCATCATCGCAAGTTGTTCCATCTGGCTTTTGTGCTCTTAATTTTATTTGTATATCTGGAGTTCAGTGAATTGGACTACTGCTCTTCTTAATTTTTGAATAAATAAAACTTGTTTAGAAGACAGTTACTTCCTCCTTTAACTAGAATAACAATACTAACGACAAACCCCTTTACTGCATGATTACTGTGTGCCAGGTACACAGAAAGAGAAAGAGGCTTTCTCATGAGCTCATTCTTTTTCAGCATTTTACAATATATTATGTTTTACTGTGCCTGATTAAGTGAATTTCCATATAATTATCTAGTTTCAAGGAAATCATCTTAATGTACAGTCTTTAAAAAGCCTTCTAAGTTATATTATTAACTGACTCTTTGGGTCTCAGATTTCTCACCTATAAAACTAAGTAATATTCCAATATTTTTTTTATCTACAAAGGCAGCAATTTCGTTACATAGTACCTTATTCTACAGATGAGGAAACTAAAGCTCTGAAAAATGTCTTTAAAGTTACACAGTAAGTCTTAACCAGCACTGAAATATTTTTATCCTTTCCATGGGTTAGTTTCCAAAAAATATCCAAATAGGATTATCTATTTTTTTAAGGAGAACTGAAATTAAGACACATTAGAAAATACAGCAAAACTCTTCTTTGCTCTAGGTATGGTGTCAAGGTTAAACATGGTAATAATAATTTTTAAACTCTTGAATGTTTTCTAAGTACTAAGTGATCTAGTACAGATCTAAACAGGATCTAGGTATTAAAATTCTCCTCGACACTCCTTAAATTCCTCTTCTCTCACGGGGAGAATACATTTCAGAAGAAGAGAAAAGATTAATATTATTTGTATCAGAATTGTTACATAAGAGGTTGTAGTGATTATTCACTTAAATAAGTGCTTGACATGGTTTGGCTGTGTCCCCACCCAAATCTCATCTTGAATTGTAGCTCCCATAATTCCCACATGTTATGGGAGGGACCCAGTGGGAGAAAATTAAATCATGGGGGCGGTTTCCCTCATACTATTCTCCTGGTAGTGAATAAGTAAGTCTCACCAGATCTGATGGTTTTATAAGGGGAAACCCCTTTTGCTTGGCTCTCATTCTCTCTTGTCTGCTGCCATTTTCCTTCCACCATGATTGTGAGGCCTTTCCAGCCACGTGGAACTGTGAGTTCATTAAACCTCTTTTTCTTTATAAATTACTTAGTCTCAGGTATGTCTTTATCGGCAGTGTGAAAATGGACGAATACAGGTGCTCTAGAGACTGGTCAGTAGGCTGCTACATCATGAGAAGCCGAAATGGATGAAGAGGAAATTTGAAGACCACATTGCAAAGTTGTTCTTAAAGGACCTGTGCATTAATCATTTAATGATGGGAAAATAACCACATGGCCAGAGTTCCCAGGAGAGAGAGTTTTTCATTTTTATCACTGTGAAAGCCTGGACTTCTCATAATAATTTGTCATGGAAATATGTGCCAGCTACATTGGCACATTTACTTTTGTTGACCATACCAAGCACACTTCTGTCTCAGGGCTCCTGTACCTTTAGAACCCTGTGCCTGGAAGGCTCTTCCCCCAACTATCTAACAAGCCCACTGGATTCTTATCTACATTTATTTTCATCTACAAAATGAAAAGGAAATGAGCACTAACTAACATTGAATCTACTTTACTATGTGGATTTACAGTGGTATCCTGGTCCAGTCTGGTCTGTGGGCCAGACAGACAGTTATGTACTTCCCACAGTGCTTTGGTGACCTCACCAAAAAGGGGACCCACCTCCCAGCAGGGTGGAGGGTTTCTCGTCAATTCATTCTCTTTCAGTATTTTGCAATATATTATGTTTTACTATGCCTGATTAAGTGAATTTCCATATAATTATCTAGTTTCAAGGAAATTGACTCTCACAAAATGATTCCTATTAAAATACGTCTGAAAGGAAGTTAATAATTAAAGATAACACATTTCAAGCACAACAGAAAAACAAGAATACAGCAGAGCTGACTCTTCGCCTGTGCTCCTATGGATACTTTTCATCATATTGTGAGATTAATACCATTACTGCTTAATCCTATGTGACAGGTAGAGAAAATACTCAAAATTGTCAAGAAGATAATTTGGAATATGGGTTATTTGGAATATGTGACAGAGGAACTTTGCCTTATTGTGTCTTATGATGTGAGTTTAGTTAGTGTTACTGTGAAGCAATTGGGATTAGGAAGCTATTTAAAAACTAACATCTGAGCAGCAGAAACTTCTGGATTTGTTTTTTCAACAAGGGTTGAAGTCAGGCAATACTCAATTTAAAACTTAACAGAATTTAAGCCAAGCATAATGTTTAGAAAGATCATCATGGGTACAAATTAAAAGTGGCTAAAATAATACAATATGGCAACAAACCAAAATGTATTTTTTTGCAAGTACTGTTGAAGATGCAAAGAAAAATATATCAGAAAATTAGTATAAATAATACTAAAACAAACTACATATTGGAGGAAGTTTCCTGTATGGTTGGATAAAAAAATATATGTTGCTGGAATATCTCGGCTTATGGCATTTTCAAATTATATTTCAATACTGAAATAAAAAATTACTTCTCTGGGAATCCAAGAAAGAAAGATACTGGAGATAAGTTCTCAAAAGTATATGAAGTCTTTAATTCAAGAAAATGAATATTTTGTAGAAAAACTGTGTACATTGATAATCATTGATAAAGTACTTGGCTTTAGCAGGAACTGACAAATATCTATAGATAGATAGATAGATAGATAGATAGATAGATAGATAGATAGACAGACAGACATATATATATATATATATATATATATATAGAGAGAGAGAGAGAGAGAGAGAGAGAGAGAGAGAGAGAGAAAGAGATTCTAGGGTAAGATTACAAAGGTGCCTTAAATCAAATTCATTCAGTGCATTACTTGTAGGCAAGTTCATGCAGCAAAATAATAGAAGTGCAAAAATGCTACAGGAGGTCATGATTAATTTTATAGAAACTCACATTTAAACCATACTGGAATCTTTAAAATGTAGCAATGATATAGGGAGTGACTAGGAAAAGTTTTTATATCATACAGACATTTGTACCACTGAGGTTCCAATGGTATCTCTTGCAAATCCTTAAAATACTTGTGGAACCTAAGGATATTTCAGTTTTATTTAACAGATAAATGGATGTTCCAAATTTGTTGACGTTTTCTGTGATGACGAGTGGCTTTTAGTTGCTGGTCACCTGACATATATTTTAGGATACTAAGCATGATATATTCCCTAACATGAATTGCTTTGAAAGCAAATTTTCAAAAAGAAATGAAAGAAAATTCTTGAAAATATTTCTATAGTCAAGTGATTTGGGGCTGGAAATTATTTAAATTTATTATTCTTTAAAACATCATAATAGCACATTTAACTAGGAAGAAGAATTTCTAACCCAATTTCATATTTTTCAAATAAAAAGTACAGCAGGCCGGGTGCGGTGGCTCACGCCTGTAATCCCAGCACTTTGGGAGGCTGAGGTGGGTGGATCCCCTAAAGTCAGGAGTTCCAGGCCAGCCTGGCCAACATGGTGAAACCTCATCTCTACTAAAACTACAAAAATTAGCTGGGGATGGTGGCAGGTGCCTGTAATCCCAGCTACTCAGGAGGCTGAGGCAGGAGAATCGCTTGAACCTGGGAGGCAGAGGTTGCAGTGGGCCAAGATGGCACCATTGCGCTCCAGGTTGGGTGACAAGAGCGAGGCTGCGTCTCAAAAACAAAACAAAACAAAACAAAAAAGTACAGCCAGGGTTTAATACTAAAATATACAAATGTAGCCTATTCCAATTAGTTTGTAAGAACAAAGGGTAGACATCAGAGAAAATGAAAATCTACTGGTCAAATTGCAACAAAAATAGTTGCATTATTTATTGACGAAAATGAAAAATGATTATCAGGTAATGATTCATTTCTTCAGTGTGCACCTGCATATATTAAGAGATTATCATTTCAGCTTTGACAGTCTTTAAACTCAAGAACTGAAATAAAGTTTCACTAGACCTTTGAATCATTGTACCCCATGGGGTCACATCAAGATTTTCAAAATCTGAAAAAGTCTGTCAATCACATTGTTCTCACTTAAAAAAAAAGTTCTGGTCAGTGAGAATAAAAAGACATTTTGTATTGTCAAGAAAATAAAATACAAATAGTTTTAAAATATTGTTTATTTCACCTTTTATCTCATGCTTTAAAGTTTTCTTTTTGGGATGTTTTATACTGTACATAAAATATTAGCCCATCAGTACATGTACATATATACTATATTTTATATATATGTACATACACCCTGTATATGGGATATGCTCAAAATTGTTTTAATTTAAGAGGCACAGTCAAACCTTTTGGCTATCACTGGTCTAATGGAGGAAACAGACTTGTGAACAAAAGCTTCAGCGTCAGGCTGCACGTGGGAGCTCAAGGTGAAAGCTGTGTGTGATCACAGCAACATGGAAGAGCAAGTGCTCCCCTCCGACTAGACAATTGAGTCAAACCTCTCAGAGAACTGACTTTAACAGAGATTTCCAGGGTAAGTACAATTTCTCCAAGCATTTTAGGGAAGGTGCCAGGAGATGGGGTGGACAAGCATTCCAGCCAAGGACACAGCAGGGATGAAGCAACCAGGGAGGAACAGTGTTTGAGAGAACTGTGGTATTTTCAAATAGCTAAATGCACTTCTGGGAGGGTGACAGGTGATGGGGCTGGACAGTTTGTCAGCATCCAGATCACAGAGAGCTTCATGTGCCACAGCGGGGCCGTCGGCCTGTGAACAAGCCTCACTGCAGGGTGGCAGCTAAGGGCATGGGCTTTGTCATCAAACTGGCTTCTGTCCTGGTTTTGCCATTTACTAACTATATGATCTTCAATTTTTTACTTAACTTCTCTAAGCCTCAGTTTCCTCCACTGTTAAAAAAAATGATTGTAGGAATATTAGTAACAAAATAATTCCTAAAGTGCTTAACCCATGTCTGCACATAAGATAAAACCAATGTTATGGTTATCTCGATGACAGTGATGGGGAGCCTTTGAAGTATTTTAAGCAGTGATATAACAGGTGATTTAGAAAAATCTCTCTGGCAGCTCTCTGTAGCATGAACTCAAGGAATGTGAAACCAGAAACAAGGAGACCAGTTACAGGGCCAATATAATTATCTAAGAGACAAAAATAAGGACCTGAGCCGAGGTGGTGGGAGCAGGAACACAGAGCAGGAAATGGAATAGGGGCTACTGAGGAGGTAGAAAATCAGTATCTAGACTGCCAGCAAAACACATTGGATTTATAACCTCTTAATAATTTCACCTCTGATATGTCTTGAACTGCATGACAAAATTCTCAAAAATGGTCAGCTGCTTGAAGGTTTTTGCTTCAAAAACAAGGTATCATGCCATAGTTTTCAAGAAGACATGGAAAATCTTGCTAAGAAAATAGAAAATTATCATCCTTCAGAAAGCAGAATTATAAATGTTTCTAGCCTACTTCTATTTTATTTCCTAAATTATTCGTTCTGGAAATAAAAGTTTCAAATAAAATGATTTGACATTAAGTAATTGAGATTATACTTAATGTCAGAACAAGAAAAGCAGGTTTGGTTTAAGGGGTCACAAAAATCTCTCCAGCATGCTCTTGTTGAGATGCTGTCTTCCCGTCCTAACTGGCTGTTCAAACTACACTAGACCCAAAAGTGACATGTCTAGGAGCTTAGAACACAAGCCCTGGTTCCAGGCTCTTTAGATGTGAACCCCAGCTCTGATCATACATACCCATGTGACCTGGAGAAGTCACTTAACCTCTTTGTGCCCCTGTAATGGGGATCTTAACTAAGGGTAACCTCAGAGTTCTGTCATTATATTTAAAAGGTGATTCAAGAAGTGCCTGGCACCTAGTAAACATCATATATGAGTTTCTTAAATAAAATTTTCTCCAGAAGATACTATTAAAGGCGACAAGATATTTGGGGTTAAATGACACTCATTGGTCATGATTACAGATTTCCTAGGATAAAAATAACATGTCCTGAAAAGGTGAAATTCAAGAAGGTAAATTCTGTTAAACAGGATGAAGGAAGAGGGGTGAAGGAAGGGGGAGTATCTATAGGTAGAATCACATAAAATATTGATATGGTTTGCTCTGTGTCCCCACTGAAATCTCATCTCAAATTGCAATCCTCACATGTTGAGGGAGGGAACTGGTGGGAGGGGATTGGATCATGGGGGTGGTTTCCCCCATGCTGTTCTCATGATAGTGAGTGAGCTCTCACAAGATCTGATGGTTTGAAAGTGTTTGGCAGTCCCCGACTCACTCTTTCTCTCTCCTGATGCCATGTAGGATGTGCCTTGCTTCCCCTTCACTTTCTCCCATGATTCTAAGTTTCCTGAGGCCTCCCCAGCCATGTGAAACTGTGAGTCAATTAAACCTCTTTCCTTTATAAATTACCCAGTCTCAAACAGTTCTTTGTAGCAGTGTGAAAATGAACTAATACAGACATAAATCCATAATTCTGTTCAGGAAAGGTCATCCTTCATTTTTTTTTTTTATCAATCCAGCACCCACACTGCTTCAAAATACAAGAGGAGAAGCTAGTCATTTGTGAGTAGGATTATAAAAATCCAAAGATCAATGGTTAGGAAATAGTTATTTGTTACATAATCTAGAGACACAATTTTTCATTCACAATGTTCCAAATGGTAATTCCACCACAATTTGCTGTTCATTTATCTGAAACACACCAGATTTATATGCTAGTTAAAGGAAACTACATCCAATAATCTGCCACATGCAAAGAATTTCACAAAGACTTGAAGATACAGTTTGTTGAGACTCTGGCCATCTCTGCTTTTGAAAAACAGAAAAGAATGATAGACGATTTAGAAACACTAGGTGCCTAAAGTAATCCAAAACCATAAACATGTTCTCATTGAGGTTGTCAAATAATGAAATATCCCTCAAAAGAGCAGACATTATTTTCTTTCTGAGATGAGTCTTTTAACTTCATGAAGGTGTTTACTCTTCAGAATTCTTTAATGAATCTGTTTCAGAAATTCTCCATTTGCTTTTATAAGAACCTCACTGCATTCAGTTTCATCACGAATCTGTTAGAAAAGACACAATAAACTTGGAGTCCATATATTCTTCAGGTTTATTGATAAGCAGACTGGTTCCATTTTCAGTCTTTCTCCCATTGCACATTATCTTACAGATGTGTTCCTGTAATCATTTTCCTTAGGCCCATTAAAAAAAAGAATAGTTTGTTATCAATGTTTTCAAGGATTAAGGTTAGATTTAGTGAGATTCTATTTCATACAAACTCTGTATTAAAGTCATTGCAATTTTCAACAATACTAAGTGACAGCCTGTTCTTTTTATCCAGGCTGACGCAGGGGAGTAGCTTGATGCCCCTAACAGAGGGAAAGAATTATATTTAACTTTGGGCTTCTTTATATAATGCTTTTGCAATTAATTTATTTTTCAGGATCAGTTTTTTTAATCTATAAACTGAGAATTATAAAACTTTATCAACCGAATTAATATTAAAAGAGATAACATATATTAAGACACACTTTGGAAATTATAAGATATACACATGTGAAGTATTTTTAGCCAAATATATAAATTCGTTTATATTCTTAAACACTAATTAACTGACAGAGAGAAGTTATTTTGGAAGCTACATTAAGAAGATTGCTATGAAAAATATGCAAAATATCCAGTTAGGTATAATGTGTATGTCACAATGACACTGCATACTGATGTCCCCATTTGGCAAGGCAAGGATCCTTGCATTTCCTGTGGATGAGTGACTATCTTAAAAGGTGGCTAGATTTGAACCATCTTGCCAAGGCCCTACCCAGAAAGGCCAAACTCAACCAGAGTCTAGCAGGAGAAAGCTGGTATCTTGATGAACCAATGGGCTTGTAGGGGGTACAGAAGAGATTATCAGAAGCCTGATTTCCTGTGTTAGGGGACTGTGCACTAATGAGGCCCTCTAGCTCTCCCGGAAGAAACCATACACATGCTCCAGAATTTGGACACCAGCCTCAGAGAGGACATTAATGGGTCCTCACATTAACCAAAGAAGCACAACACCCAAAGAAGAGAGAAACGCCACCTCATTCAGTTATGAATAAATATATCTATCTGCCCCTTTCCTCTTCACATCTTTCCTCCTTCCCTCAACCATGGAGGGGCTAGAGGGATATGGGTAAAGAGCAGGTACCCTCCTTTCCATGCCACACCCTGGAGCCACAAGCCTGGCCACAGTGACTAGGGAAAGAGTTTAGAGTCAGATAGTTGACTGAAGCTTTAATTAAAGTTGACTGTTTTAATAACCAAAAGCCACCAGAAAAGATGAGATCTGCCCAAAATGTTACTAACAAAGGGATTCATCTTTATCATGTTGAAAGCAGTTACTGGAAGAAATATATGTTTATAATGGAATGAGTTGACACTCCTTAAAAAAAATCATTTACATCACACAGGTTCATATCAATCACGTGTTCTTTATGTATGTTAGTCATGAAAACTTATCACCAACTCATGTGACTTCCATTGATGATCATGTTGAAACTAATATTTCTAGGCAAAATGAATGAAAATTTGACTGGGCATAACAAGAAGTGTATATTCTTCCTCTTTCTTTTTCTTCTTTTTTTTTTTTTAAAATGTGAATCAGACTTTAGTAACCTGGGATGCTTTTTGCTATTAGGTAGATGTATAGTTTCAGTTAGCCTAGAGAAGTGTTTCTTGAATATTACTGTCAGAATATAGAATTCTCAACTTAGAATAAGAACTCTGAACTTTTACTGAGTATTAAACAAAGGCAATTGTTTTTAAAGCAAATCATATTATCTCTCTCTCTCTTCTTCCTCCCTTTTCTCCTACTCTCCTTCCCCCTGCATCTTTCTCCAGTTTTGTTCCCCTGATGTTCCCCCGACGTTCCCCCGACGTTCCCCCAACACGTCCACCCACTCCCACTTATGAAGGCACTAGGCAGGCTAGCAAGTCCACGGATGGAGAAGACAAGCTACCAGGAAATAAACTGCTAGTCTCCCCTCTTGCCAGTTCCCCTGATCTTTACAGTAATCATTTTGGAGCTTCCCAATACCTCCTCTTCCCCACTCCCGCTGACCCAGGCAGCCCATCCATTCTGGCTTCAGAAAGGGAAAACCCTCCCACCACTATTATGACCTGCTCACAGTGCCAAAAACTCAGATAATTTTTAGCCTCTCTCTGATCTTCCTCTTAACTTGACTAGGAGAGAGGCAGTGGGGAAGGGCGGAAGGGACATAATGTGCCACCACCCGTCAAGCCCTATGGGGACCTATCTGGCCTCACTTTTTTTTTTAACCTCTTCTTGAATTTTCATGACAATTATAGAACATCAGAGCAGTAAAGAATCTTAGATGATTGATGATGATGATTTCATGAACCAGCAAAATATATATAATATATATTCATATATATATATATCTTCTTTTTTAAGTTTTATTTTATTTTTAATTGACAAATAATAGTTGCATGTATTATGGGGTACAACGTGATGTAGTGATACATGTATACATTGTGGAATGATCAAATCAGGCTAATTAGCATATCCATCACCTCAAATATTTATCATTTCTTTGTGACGAGAACATTTAAACTCCTTTTTTTTTTAGCTATTTTGAAATATACAATACGTTATTATCAACTATAGTACCCTGCTGTGCAGTAGAACATCAGAATTTTTTGGCCTTAACTTTCTATAGCAGTGGTTGTGAATCTTGACCACACATCAGAATTCCCTTTGGAATGTTTATAAATCCTGATGTCCAGGGTGAACCCCAGACCAATAATGAAATCAAGGTTGGGTACAAACTATGGTATTTATTTTAAATAATCTTTCCTTTTGGGACCACTTTAACCTACTTTTATCCTCTCGGGCACCTGTTTCCACCAATAAGGAAGAAGAAAAATCAAATCTCATCATTTTTTGTAGCTTAACCATTGGCAAGCAATGTAGCCTTTCTGTGCCACAATTTCCTCATCTCTAAAATGAGGATTTTTTCATACCTACTGTTTAGGTTTTGAGGAACATTTGAAGAGATAATACTAGCAAAGCACTTGCAAATTTTCCTGGCACATAGCAAGGGCTTGACACATGTAAGCTACATATGTGCTACGTCCAGCTAATGGCAAAGTTCATGCATAATGAATATTTTATCTCATTGTCATCTTTCAGAAACCTCCCTTAAAATATACAATTCCAAAATAAGGATTTTTTAATATCGCCTACTTAATAGATTTATCTAGAGCACACTAACTTCTATAAGCATGTCTGTGTTTAAAATTCCTAGAAAGGGCTTAAAATCAATTTAAAGATTAAGTGATTAAGCATATTTTAATAAAGATATTACCAGTTTTCATATATAGGAAGGAGCATTTATTCTCAAGTATACATATTCAAACACATTAAAATCTTTTTCCCCCTTTAGAAATACCTATGTTTCTGGAATTCTTCTATTTGAAACATTTTAAAAACCTTACTGATGGCACTAAGGGATAAGAATTATATTATCTGAAATGTGCTTTGTGTAAATAATACATTTTTATTCAAAATCTTAAAGAACACATATCCAATAATAGATAAGAATTATTAAATTCATTTTGGCCTTATGAAATGAAGGATTATACAATGTCACCTCAATTTTAATGAACAATTATTTGAAACTTTGAACTAAATTCAGTAGAACACATACTATAGTGGTGCATAAGATTTGAAGAAAAAATAAATTTCTAACTATATTAAAACATATAAAGGATAAACAGTCTGAACATTTTTTTCTTAATTATTTTCAAAATGTGAGTAATTTTTCAATTGCAGGTAAGATTTTTTGTAAAACAAAAATTTCTCCCCACTCCTTTATATGAGGATTTTTCAAAGTGATTTGCCAAAAGTATGTCCTGAGACAGGGCCAGATAAGTACATGTCCCAAAAGAGAGAGTTTCATAAAGAAGAAGTGCTCACATTCTTTTTGTAAAGCTATCTGCACACACAGTGGGGTTTTCTGTTTGGATAAATTTGTTTCTGTTTATAATCTCTTGAAAATATACTTTGCAGAGTGTTATGCTATAACTCAGTGTTAGAAATGTTTGCCTCCCATCACATATATTTAGAATATAAATTAAAAGATATACAAACATTTTAAAAACAAGCTTATGTTACTGATTACTTGGGCTTTTAAAAATTTGGTTTATTTTTTAAAACAAAACAGATTTTCGTGCCATTGAGCTTAACCGTCAATGACAAGTTTTGATAATGAATATTCCTGTTATTTATCTTTAAAATTTGGGGTTTGCGTATAGTTCAACCAGCTAACCAAATACTAAACATGTTTGAACATATCTCAGAAGTGACTAAATATGTCAATATAAGGATATTTATCGGGAATTATAAAGTTATTCAATTTTTTATTGTTCTTAATAACATTAGACTGTTTTTTTGCACTATTTCTGCCTGTTAGATTTTTACTCTATATAGAATTATGAAAAACCTAAATATGTAGATATTTCACAAAAAGCCAAAATGTGTTATTGTCTACAGAACTGCTTTGTAGCATTCCCATTTTAAGGAGCATGGTTCAAGCACTCGCCGAAATTTTCTTTTCTTTGAAAATTTAAGTTTTCCTTCAACTCCCAAATTAATTTTGTGCATGTTATTCAAAACTGTGAACATTTGATTTGACAGCAACCATCTCTCTAGCCTTTCTGTCTCTTTCCTTGCATCCAGCCCTAATAAGCTATCACCAGTCCTTACAAGAAGAGAAAGTTTATGCCCAAGCAACATTCACTTTGCCTTGAACACATTGAGATACCATGAATAGAATTGAATTGACTTAATATTTTAAATAAAATACAGTGATCCTAATGAGGCAATGGCCTTGATAACAGAGAAAGTGATAAGCGCTTTGTTCCAAGGGATTTCTCCCACAAATAATGCTAGTATAAGAAATCAAACATAATCATTTGAACTAAAAAAAGAAAAAGACCAACAAAAATTGTGCATTGCCACAGTAATTTAGAACTTACATCTTCTATAGATAGCTCTTTAGTCTTTTTAACGTATGGACAAAAGGTAGACTGTAGACTACAGTCTGTCTCTCTCTCTCTCTTGCACACACAAACACACAAAAATTAAGGCAAACTTCCAGATACTTTTATAATGATATTTTAAAATCTATAGCTCTAAGTATAGTATCACAAACTACAAAAGCAAAGCAAACATCTAGATGCCTTAATAATGATCTTTTGAAAACCACAAATGTATTGCTGGGTATTTTAGGAAGGATGATTTAGGGGGAGTGTAGGACTGGATTCTGACATAGCCTAACAACCTTACTGAATCCTGAAAATAGAGATGCCATTAGCAGAGAATCTCCACAGCACCCTTTCCTAGCAATCTGCTTCAGCTCTTCAGTGAATCGCCGCAAAGAGGTCCCACATTGAAATCGTCACATGCAGAACTCAGAAGAAACCCACTACCCACTCTATTCTTGAGGCCTGGCTGCCAAAGAGCCACCAGAGAACAACAGCACTCAGCCACTCTGTCCCCATATTTCAATTAGTAGGCAAGCGATTCTAAAACTGTACACTATCAGGATCGTAGAATACTTGGGCAAGACAGAGCTTCGTAGACTGCACAGTCCAATTTCTTTCTTACTTCTTTACCACCTAAGTTAAAATATTTGTCTCTCTCTCCCTACACACACACACACACACACACAGAGAGAGAGAGAGAGAGAGAGAGAGAGAGAGAGAGAAACCGATGAGACAGGAAGGGTGAGAGATTTTCCTAAGGCCAGGCTGCAAGTTAGATCAGAGCTGGAATTAGAACCCAAATCTCATACCTAGAGCCAGCCAACTGCTATTCTAGACTCAGGACAAATCTGCTTCAGTGTCATGAATTCTACATATGCTAAATTGGGCATTCATATTTTATCTGAGGTTGCCTGCTATTGACTCCTAAAGGAACCCAACAAAACCACCTTTCTGAGCCTTTAATCACTCTGCCAGTTCCAAGCTGAAAACTTAAGGCAAGTTACTTAACATCTCTGGGCTCTTTCCTCATCTAAAATTCATGGGTTGAACTGCAGACCTCGGAGGAACTTTCCAGTAATAAAAACTCTGCTTTTCATCTACTGTTTTATGGTTCATTCTTGATGTTTGCAATTTTCACTAGGTGGCAGGATTCCACCATCACATTACGAAAGGATTTACATATGATGCCTGGAAGCAAAAAGGAGTTTCAAAGAAACTTCTTTCTTCGCAAAGGACACTAAAAAAAAAAAAACGTAAAAGGCAGAGGGAAACAATAACTACAAAAAAAAAAGAGTAAAAGCCAGAGGGAAACAAACAATAACTACAAAGGCAATGGCCCATGTATTTCATAAAGATCTGTACCCATTTTTAATATAAGCATAAAATAGGAAATTAATCCCATGCTCTTGCATGTTCTTCAATACAATACTATAATTTGCAATTTGATGATAAGGTTAGGTAAAAGTTTGCTTAGTTTTGTGCATTTTAAGTTTTATTTTAGCTGAATGCCAATTAGAGAATACCAGATCCCCTTGGGCTAACCAGTAATGCAGGCAATCTAATGGCAATAAAAACTTAAAGCATTTTAAATAGTTATTAATGTGTTACAAAGTTACCTCTTAGTTACTCATAATATATTTAGATTATCTTCTAAGTTTATTTTTGAGATCTTGACCAAAAGAGTACATAAGAAGGAATACAGCATTTATTGGATTTTTGCATTTATTTGTCAAATCCTTAAAAGGGTATTCTTTTAAATAGATTTTATGACACTTCATCATACTTTTAAAATTATTGCCCAACATTGGCCTTTTCATGAATGCTGCATAATAAATGTCACTACCAACACTCTATATGAGTCCCCAAAATAGCCAAGCAAAGTCGTTATGCTGAACTGAGCGTTTCTCCTCTGCCAGAGCCAAGTGAAGTGACATCAAACAATAACTCAACTGAACATTCTAAAATTGCCTGGAAGAAACGCTCCCCAGTGTCTTGCTTGTTGTCAGAAGAACATGGTTAACTAGGCCTTTTCCTCAGCTGATAAATATGGCATTCTTCCCACCCACCCCTCATCGATTGCAAGTTAATTACATAGGATGTGGCCCATTACTCTCCAAAGTTTCTTAGAAAATAACTCACTTCCTAGAAAAATCTTAATATCCGCAGCAAAATCAAATAATACTTAGACTTCTGCATCAGAACCTGAAAACACCATCAGCAGGTTGCTTTCATTCCTTCCTTCCTAGCACAGAGCCGTGACACTTCGTTCAGGTCCTACCTTTGCAACTTGTAAGGGCTGCTTCTGCTCCTTGCCACCTTGCAATCTGAACCCCCAGGGCGCCCCTCCAGTCATGGAAATGCAGATAAAATCCCCTGTGCCCATGTTTTCCTTTTAGTTGGGCAGCATGAAGAGCTTGACGAGACAGACGAAGCTTGGGTGCGGTAGAGGATGCGCACTCAGCTTCGGGCGCCTGCCGAGGACGCAAGACTGGGTAATGCAGAGCGTCCGCCGCTGCTGCAGCCGCTGCCCCAGCCGCCGCCCCAGCCGCCTGCTGCGAATTTGTGCGGCTAATGGGCTCATTCTCAAGGAGGCAGAGGCGCTCGCAGCATCCAGGACACAGCCCACTCTTGCGTCACTCTCCTTTGCTCGGCCCACCTTCGAGGAAAGGAAAGCAGCTTCACACACAGGAGAATGTCCTCACGTGGGGCGAGATAAGGGAAAGGAGGACGGAAGGGAGAGCCAAAGTTATCTTGCACTAACAGATTAAATCCAAGCAGTTAATGGTATAAGTATGATTGAAAAACTTACATTTAATAATTCTGTAAATAGTAAAGGACACATGAAGGTTTAATCTCCACGCCATGAATGACGTCCTAAAATAGGAGCGTTGGGAATTCAACTACTAGAGGATTAGATTCTCTCAAATAAATGTTTTGAGACTTGCCACATTTATGAATGGAATAGACAAAAAAGAGTTAAAATGAGTTAAATTACTACTTTTCTGTCTGCATTCTGCTGAATTATTCCTATAAGAGGAAACAAAAGAAAGCACAAACTTTTTGTTAATAAACCTCCAGCTCTGAAAAGTACCTTTCTGAACCATATATTTAGAGAAAGGGGAAGAGAAGAGACAGAAAGGGAGAGAGAAAGAGAGAAAATGAATATGAATTTTTCTCCTGGAAACTACATTCTTATAATTACATCTATTGCATAGTTTTGGGTATGTTAAATTTTAACGTGTTTTGTTTTCTTTCTACCTGCTGATCTTCTTAAACCCAAACCCAACAGTTAGTCAACTGCATAAAATGTACAATGTCACCTACAGGTTTCTTATTTTTATAGTTTGTCATCCCATGTCATGAATCTGGGTGGTCCAATATAAAAGCAGATTTTGTATATTCCAAATATTTAAATGTTTTAAATCTGAATACAATCTGCCAAAAATGTACAAAAAGGACATTTTAATTTTCCTATAATACTTTTGTTTTCCATAACATTCATCCACATAAAAACATACTAAATAAGGAAGAGCCTGGGAAAGTTTGTTTGTGTTACTTGTGGTACCAAACAAAATTTCCAGACACGCTGCCTGTTTCAGCACTAAGAAGCACTATATACAGTAAGTCCTCACTTAAAACGTCACAGATAGGTTCATGGAAACTGTGACTTTAAAACCAATTTTACCATCGACTAATTGATAAAAACAAGGTTAAGTGACTACAGTCTATTTCTGGTCACAAAGACATCACCAAACTTTTAAATAAGATTAAAACACTTCTAATATTAAACATGGAAATAAATGTCAGCTACACATGCATTTAAGAAAGATTAATAAAAACAAGATAATCATGGACCCAATTTTTGGTGAATCAGTGAGTGAGGGCAGCTGTAGTGGTGGTGGATTCAATCAAGGAATAAATGTTTGCAAAAGGAAAATTATAAGGAGTACCTCCTGTCACAATGCAGTTCAAAACCACCACAAATATAGCAGGCTCACTGAGAAATTTCATACAGCATCATCTATTGCTGTGCATTTGTGTGATTAACATATATTTTATGAATTTTTTTTGAAAATAATTTGCATCCATACATTCATTCCTCCTCCAACCCACTTATTCCCATTCAGGATCTCCAGTGGCTTGAGCCTCTCCCTGCAGCTTAGGGCGCAAGGCAGGAATCAGCCCTGGACAGCCCTGACCATCCCATCAGAGGGTGCACACACACACACACACACACACACACACACACACACTCACTCAGATGGGGACCATTTAGACATGCCAGTTCATCTCATGAGCACAGCTTTGGGATGTGGCAGGAAACCAGAGGACCTGGAGAAAACCTATACAGACATGGGGAGAACTTTCAAACTCCATACAAACAGTGGCCCCAGCTGGAAATACATTTTTTTTTCTCATCAATGTTGTCATGAAACAATGTTGAATAAAATGGCATTATTCAAGGACCTGTGGTACAATGAACATTTTACACAGCCCATGCTCCCCAGAAGCCAAAGGCATCAAGTGATTTTATTTGTGACTCATCACTGGAGTGAGGACAATGAAATCAGAGATTGTGGCACTGGAAGAGACCCTTTGAAGGTCATGAGGGCCAGATACTCATCCCAAGTTTGATTCTTTTCAGAAACACGAATTGACTTTCCCAGTCTTTCCTTTAAACAATAGTTACAAGAGACATCATAAAATATGAGCTTTGACACTAATTACAATAGCAAAGACTTGGAACCAACCCAAATGTCCATCAGTGATAGACTGGATAAAGAAAATATGGCACATATACACCATGGAATACTATGCAGCCATAAAAAAAGAATGTGTTAATGTCCTTTGCAGGGGACATGGATGAAGCTGGAAGCCATCATTCTCAGCAAACTAGCACAGGAACAGTAAACCAAACACCACATGTTCTCACTCATAAGTGGGAGTTGAACAATGAGAACACATAGACACAGGGAGGGAAACATCACACACTGAGGCCTGTCGGAGGGTGGGGTACAAAGGGAGGGAGAGCATTACGACACATAACGCATGCGGGGCTTAAAACCTAGATGACGGGTTGATAGGTGCAGCAAACAACCATGGCACATGTATACCTATGTAACAAACCTGCATGTTCTGCACATGTATCCCAGAACTTAAAGTAAAAATTTTTAAAAAATGAGCTCTGAGAACAAAGAAAAAAAACACTTTCATATTTGTTCTTTTTACTTTTTCATGTCCCTTCTGCTCCTCAATCCACTCAAGTCTAGCTTCAAATTAGTGATGGTGTCCTCCTTAAATCATTTCTCCCTTAGGCTTCTTGGGCCCAGCAAGCTCTAGGCTTTCTTCTTGCCTCTGTAGCCACTCTTATCAAAGATTTATTCTGTGCAGGAACTTGAAATATAATGTTGTATTTATTTTCAAAGCAACCATGCTAGATAGGTATTAGTGTTTCTCTTTTACTGATAATTAACAGTGCTTTAAATCCTAAGCGATAGAGCCAGGGTTTGAACTTTTGTCTGCCCGAATTTGTCTGCCCTAATACCTATTCTTAATCATTGCTATTCTGCCTCCAGGTCTTATGTATTCCCTGATGCTTATCTCATGCAACCAATTATCCATTAAGACCTATGGATCTGGCTATGCGCAGTGCTGCATGCCTGTAATCCCAGCATTTGGGGAAGACAAGGTGGGCAAGGTGGGTGGATCACTTGAGGTCAGGAGCTCAAGACCAGCCTGGCCAACATGGTGAAACCCCATCTCTACCAAAAGTACAAAAATTAGCTGGGCGTGGTGGTGCACACCTGTAATCCCAGCTACTCGGGAGGCTGAGGCAAGAGAATTGCTTGAACCTGGGAGGCAGAGGTTGCAGTGAGCCGAGACCGTACCACTGCACTCCAGCCTGGGCAATAGAGCAAGACTCCATCTGAGAAAGAAAAAAAAAAAAAAAGACCTATGGATCTAACTTCTAAATAGTTTGGAAATCTGCTCCTTCCCTCATTTCCTACTCCTGGGACCATGTCTATCTCTGACCTGGACTTCAACAGTCTCCTAACTGTTGTCTCTATTCCAGGCTTGTTTCCACCCTCAATTCATTTTTTACTCCAAAGCCAGGGTGAAATTTTGAAATATAATGTCTATGTTATTTTTCCTATAGTTCAAATCTTCAAGGGCTCCCGGATAAAGTCCGAACTTTTTTACATGGAAACACTTTCTGCCTCCCACTACCTACTTCTTCCACCTTGTTGCTTACTACCCCTACCTTGAATTTGATGATTCAGACACACAGAAGTACTGTTCTTTTCTCAAAATTGCTTTTTTGTTTCACCTGCTTAGGCATTTCTCCAAGCTATTCAGTCCTTGTCCACACATAAATCACCTAATAATTTCTCCTCATCCTCCGGCCTCAGATTAGAGATCACATTCTCCAGGAGGACTTTCCCGACCTTCCTGGTGTCCAGGTTAGGTGTTCCTTCCACGTGCTACTATCACTCTGTACTTTCCCTCTCAGTCTAAAGGTCTCTTAAGTTGTCTGAATCCTATGCTAGGTTATTAACCCTGTGAGACTAGGAGTCATTGCTGACTTATTCAGAATTCTATCCCCAAGTCTAATAGCTCCTGATGAATGATTGGTGCCCAATTAATATGAGTAAAAAAAATAAATAAGAGTTCCCAGAATAAAGACATAGAAAAGAGAGACAAAGAGTTCTAATTTATTTTTTTGTTTACTTTATTAGACTTGGAACATTTGAAATAGACCAAAATTCCTCAATTATACACCTTAGAGACCGTGTGGAATAGGTAGTGGCCACCTCCCTAACATTCTATTTCCCATTGGTTAGTAGCTATTGGTTTAGGTAGAATTGATCCTCCCACCCCAGCAGTGTTGATCTAAGGCAATCAGAGTAATTATTCCTCCTTAACACAGAGATAGGTACAAAACCTGAGCCAAAATCAAGGAGATTTCCTTGGCCTGAGTGATTAATTCATGTATGCTCCAATCACAGGGAAGCTCAAGACTTCTCTGGATTGCCGTCAGGGCAAGGCCTCTTCTCCATGGATACTGATTTGCAGCCAATGGAGAAAGCCAATGTGAAGACAAAACCACCACAAGGTGTGTTGGGAGAGACAGTCAGTCCTTCATGGGTCTCTAGTGCTTCTATATGTCTTTCTGGGTATGCCAGAATGCAACGTCCTGATGCCTTTTTTCCTGAGCCATTTCTCAGGATTATGTTTATAGCAAGCAACCTTGAGAAAAAAGATAATATCTCAATCAGAAACAAAGAGCAGATTTGCTAACTCATTATTATAAAAGCAATGAATTATCTAAGCTCAGTGCCCCCTAGCTGTGATACAAACCCTCTGTGTGTGTAGCATCCATCTGGGTCATATTGTGTCACCCTTATGGGGCTTGGGGCAAGGTGAACTGATGCAAACATGCTGATGTTTCTGCTGCTTGCAGAGCCCTGAGTAGTAAAGTTCTTTGTCTCTGACCCAGAAGTTTAATATGTTCTTCCAGCACCTATGAAACAGTAACAAGCTAATTTAGTAGCCTGTAAAGACAGTAAAATCAAATCCCAGACCTAACAGGGTGAAACTGAGAAATAAGTAGAAAAATGAAACCAGAGCCCTGATCAAAGAGCACATAAGCCCGCCTCCTTTTATTTTATTTGGGTTTTAGGAATAAAAGCAAGAGAAAAAAAAAAGAAAAAGAGAAATCTATTTTCTAAAGAAAAAATGGCTAAAGTCATGTTGACAATGGTCTTCTGGGACTAACTCTAATTCTATGTTAAATCTATGTTAAATGATTTAACAACGTATCAGATACTTTATTTTATACTACCATTTATTCATTCACTCAAGTGATTATTTATTTAACAAATAATACCCATTCTATCTTTCCCCATTTTGATAGCACTGTAAGATTTCTGGGCCTAACATGAACTGAGAGAGCACATTATGAAACACATATATTCCATTAAGAACGACTTATTCTGCAATAATTTCATATTGGCTACCTATGCCTGGCTTGTGCCTCTTTTTTATTTTCCTAATTCAATTTTCACTCAAAAAACATCATTACTTTCCATTTTGAGCTAATGTTTATGACTGCTTCCTAATTATTCAAAGAACTAGAAGTTACTCTTCATTATGAATAAAATGGTAAAAATTTTTGGAGAAAAATAAAGCATTACAGCAAGGAAGTAAACATTATTATAAAATTATGTGAAATTTAAAATGGCAAAACCAGGAAAGATGCGTCATGATTTTAGTATCTAATGCAAGCCTAAGTCTTCCTGTCCTTTTGGGCCATCAAATCTTCCTGCTTATTAAAAGGCCTTTAAAAAAAAAAAAAACAGGCGGGGCGCGGTGGCTCATGCCTGTGATCCCAGCACTTTGGGAGGCCGAGGAGGGCGGATCACGAGGTCAGGAGATCGAGACCATCCTGGCTAACATAGTGAAACCCCGTCTCACTAAAAATACAAAAAATTAGCCGGGCGTGGTGGCTGTAGTCCCAGCTACCCAGGAGGTTGAGGCAGGAGAATGGCATGAACCCGGGAGGTGGAGCTTGCAGTGAGCCGAGATCGCACCATTGCACTTCAGCCTGGGCGACAGAGCGAGACTCCGTCTCAAAAAAAAAAAAACTAGCAGGCATCTTACAGCATTAGCTAATATATTTATGTGAGTGTGGTTTGAATGGCTCAACAAGTAAAAACCCCATGTATTAAAGCCCTCTTAGGATACATGTCTATTAAAAGTTTCATTTTCAGAAAGTATGCTTTATAAAGGTGTGTGGGGTGTGTGTGTGTGAGAGAGAGAGAGCACATATTTTAGGATAATGAAGATGAGATAAATAAACATATTAGGCATTTTATTTTTCCAAAAGATTGAAGGGTATTTGTCTGTAATGTCAAGGAATGAAATGACAATGTTGACTCAATGTCTATTGACTATAGTTTTGCTATTTTATGTTTTTTAATAAATATCGCATGTTTTACATTTTAAGAAATACTGAATTATCTGAAACAACAGAAAGAGTAAAGATAATTTTTAGGGAAAAATGTAATGTCAATGAATTACTGAAAATGAAATTTAAACAATAGCTTCTATATTTTTTAAGGAATCAAATCATTTTCTCATGGGTTGTGATTATTTGGAACAGCCGCTAAATTGTACTCCCCAAAATCAGTGTTAAAATTTGGAGCTTTGAAATAATGTATTTTTTTGTTGTTTCATTTTACTTCCCCCCAATAAAAAGTGACCGACAACAATAAGAGGTAAAATTATGTATATGGGAAGAAATTAATATCCCAGACAAAGACAGCAAAGTCTTTAAAATGCTTATTGTTAACTTCTGAAAGAAACATGCTGGTTGGGATTAATTGCAAATAACAGAACTTTATCATAAGTGCCAGATAGATCATCAACAGGATGGATAAACACTTGAGGACCTATATTTAATAGTTACGCAACTCTCTGATTATTGGAGAATCACGCATTTATCATGTGCTGGGCACACTAGAGGCTGATGCAACTGGAATACTTGTGTGGTTTCCAGGAATGAAACATGCGCACCTCCATGAAAAGCCATCTGAGCAGGTGGGGTGGTGCTCGGTAGCATTCCAAAGAGGGAGAGAACGAGCAGTGTGAAAGAAGATGCCCTCAGGCCCTACCCAAAACAACTTCCCTATGATCTATGTGCCGTCTCTCACTTGGAGGCCGAACGTGGCTTAGGGAAAAACTACCACTGCTACTACTGCCAGTGATTTAAAGTTCTGCCACAGAGGCTCGCAGTCGTAAGGGGACGCTCCCCAGCAACTCTTTCTTTTACACAAAGCCCAGGGCTGTTGCCTTGCTCCCCCTCGGGGCATAAGAAAGTGTATTACTGTGCTAGGGCTCCATAACAAACGCCACGGATTGGGTGGCCTAAGCAACAGAAGTTTATTCTTTCACATTTGGGGGTCTGGAAATCTGAGATCAAGGTGTCAGCAGACTGGTTCCTTCTGAAGCCTCTCTCCTTGACTTGCAGATGGTCACTTCCCTCTGGCTTCACATGGTCTTCCCTCTGGACAGGTCTATATCTTAACCTCTTCTTCTTCTTCTTTTTTTTTTTTTTTGAGACGGAGTTTTGCTCTGTCGCCCAGGCTGGAGTCCAGTGGTGCGATCTCGGCTCCCTGCAACCTCCACCTCCCGGGTTCATGCCATTCTCCTGCCTCAGCCTCCTGAGTAGCTGGAACTACAGGCGCCCGCCACTACACCCGGCTAATTTTTTGTATTTTTAGTAGAGACGAGGTTTCACCGTGTTAGCCAGGATGGTCTGGATCTCCTGACCTTGTGATCCGCCCACCTAGGCCTCCCAAAGTGCTGGGATTACAGGCATGAGCCACCACGTTCGGCCCTTAACCTCTTCGTATAGGAACACCAGTCATATTGGATTAGGGCCCACCCTAAAGACCTCATTTTAATTTAATTATCTCTTTAAAGATCCTTTCACAAACACAGTCATGTTCTGTTTTACTAATAAATATTGCATGTTTTACATTTTAAGTAATACTGAATTACCTGAAACATCAGAAAGAGTGAAGATAATTTTTAGGGAAAAATGTAATGTCAATGAATTACTGAAAATAAAATTTAAATAGTAGCTTGCATAATTTTTTTTTTTTTTTTTTGGGACAGAGTCTCGCTCTGTCGCCCAGGCTGGAGTGCAGTGGCGTGATCTCAGCTCACTGTAACCTCCACCTCCGGGGTTCAAGCAATTTCCTGCCTCAGCCGCCCAAGTAGCTGGGATTACAGGCAACAGCCACCACGCCCAGCTAATTTTTGTATTTTTAGTAAAGATGGGGTTTCACCATCTTGGCCAGGCTGGTCTTGAACTCCTGACCTCGTGATCCAACTGCCTCAGCCTCCCAAAGTGCTGGGATTACAGGCATGAGCCACTGTGCCCAGCCACCTTCTATGATTTGAAATGAACAAAATCATCTTTTTCATGGATCATGATTATTTGGAACTGCCACTAAATTATACCCCCCAAAATCAGTGTTAAAATCTGGAGCTTTGAGGTACTGGAGATTAGGTCTTCAACATATGAACTTGGAGGGACATAATTCCCCCCATAACAAGAATGCACAGCATACAGATAGCCTAACTGCTTATTAGTTTCTTCCCAATGCACAAAGTATATAAAATGACCAGACAGAATAATTTTTCACATTTTGATTGTTTTGTTGGTCCTTCAGATTTTCTCCTTCTTCTTATTCCGAGCAAGTAGCCAGACCCTTACAATTTCCTTACCTCAGGGACTTTTGCTGAGCAGGAAAAGAAGGTGGTAACAGTGATTCCCAGTTTTGTAAAGCCTAACCTTCACGAAATGATGATGCAAGGGGTCTCAGAGGGAGAGGAAAGAAAGGGGAGCACCGTTGAGAGAAATAAGGAGGGATTCTGTCCTGACAGGGATGATCTGCTGCTCCTGGGTCTCTAAAGTAGTGCAGACCTCCATGCTGCTGACAGGCAACAGGCCTCAGAGGCAAACGGTTGCAGGGTCTCGGAGGGAGGCGGGACATCAAGGGCAGGGCTGCCAACCCCGCCAACATTCTTCAGCCACACGCATGTCACAAAAGTTGCAGTTACGTACCTGACTGCTGGCCAAGACCACGGACAGTTCAGTGACCAGTGAAGGCAAATGATTGATGACCAGCTGCTCTGTTGAACCCCAAGACCTTTGCAGCCCCTCGTGTTTTAGTCTCTTTGGACTGCCATAACACAGTATCATACGCTGGGCGATTTAAACCACAAAAATGTGTTTCCCACAGGTCTGGCAGCTGGGAAGTCTAAGATCAAAGGGCTGCTAGGTCCACTGTCTGCTGAGTGCCCTCTTCCTGGTTTGTAGATGACTGTCTTCTCATTGTGTCCTCACATAGAGAAAGATCATCTCTCTTGTGTCTCTCGTCTTACAGGGGCACTAATCCATTCACAAGGGCTCTATCCTCATGAGCTAATTACCTTCGCACAGCCCCACTTCCAAATATACACTGGGGATTTAGGATTCAACATATGAATTTCAGGGGAGACAAAAACGTTCAGTTCCCCAGAGCCTAGGGAAAAGGAAGCTCTAACCCTCTCTGAATTGGCACTTCTGTGTTCAGAATTGGTTCATTCCAGTGGGTTCATGGTCTCCCTGACTTCAACAATGAAGCCACGGACCCTTATCGGTGAGTGTTACCGTTCTTAAAGATGGTGTGTGCAGAGTTTGTTCCTTCAGATGTTCAGATGTGTCGGGAGTTTCTTCCTTCTGGCGAGTTCTGTGGTCTTGTTCACTTCAGGAGTGAAGTGGCACACCTTAACAGTGAGTGTTACAGCTCTTAAAGGTGGTGCCTCCGGAGTTGTTCATTCCTCCCTGTGGGTTCATGGTCTCGCTGACTTCAGGAGTGAAGCCACAGACCTTCGCAGTGAGTGTTACAGCTCTTAGAGGTAGTGCGGACCCAAAAACTGAACAGCAGTAGGATTTACTGCAGAGAGAGAAAGAACAAAACATCCACAAGACAGAAAAGGACCTGAGTGGGTGCCTCTGCTGGCTGGGGTGGCCAGCTTTTATTCCCTTATTTGGCCCCACCCATGTCCTGCTGATTGGTCCATTTTGCAGAGTGCTGATTGGTTCATTTTACAGAGTGCTGATTGGTGCGTTTTTACAGAGTGCTGATTGGTGTGTTTACATACCTTTAGCTAGACACAGAGCACTGATTGGTGCGTTTTTACAGAGTGCTGATTGGTGCGTTTATAAACCTTTAGCTAGACACAGAGCGCTGATTGGTGCGTTTTTACAGAGTGGTGATTGGTGCGTTTACAAACCTTTAGCTAGACACAGAGCGCGGATTGGTGCGTTTACAATCCTTTAGGTAGATGGAAAATTTCTCCAAGTCCCCATCTGACCCAGAAGCCCAGCTGGCTTCACCTCTCCCTTCCACCAACTCAGTGAGATGGAGAACTAGGGTTGAAGTAAATTGATTTAAGTGATAAAATAATATTCTTTTTGTTTTATTTCATCTTATTTATTTTTTAACTTTTATTTTAGGTTCAGGGGTACATGTGCAAGTTTGTTTTACAGGTAAATTGCGTATCATAGGGATTTGTGCACAGATTATTTTGTCACCCAGGTAATAAGCATAGTGCATAGGTGGTTTTTCAATCCTCACCCTTCACCTACCCTCCACCCTCAAGTAGGCCCTGATGTCTATTGTTTCCCTTTTTGTGTCAATATGTACTCAAAGTTTAGCTCCCACTTATAAACGAGAACATGCGATACTTGGTTTTCTGTTCCTGTGTGGTTTGCTGAGGATAATGGCCTCCAACTCCATCCATGTTGCTGCAAACGACATAATCTCATTCTTTTTATGGCTGCATAGTATTCCTTTTTCTATATGTACCATATTTTTTAAACCAGTCTAATGTTGACGGGCATTTAGATTGATTCCAAGTCTTTGCTATCGTGAATAGTGCTGCAACGAACATTCACATGCATGTATCATCTTTATGGTAGAACAATTTATATTCCTTTGGGTATATACCCAATAATGGAATTGCTGAGCTGAATGGTAATTCTGTTTTAAGTTTTTTGAGGCATTGCCACCCTGCTTTTCATATTGTCTGGACTAATTTACACTCCCACCAGCAGTGTGTAAGTGTTCCCTTTTCTCCACAACCTCACCAGGATCTGTTATTTTTTGACTTTTTAATAATAGCCATTCTGACTGGTGTGAGATAGTATCTCATTGTGGTGCTGATTTGCATGTCTGTAATGATCAGTGATGTTGATCTTCTTTTCATATGCTTGTTGGCCGCGTATATGTCTTCTTTTGAAAAGTGCTTGTTCACGTCCTCTGCCCACTTTTTAATGGGGTTCAGTTTTTGCTTGTAAATTTGTTTAAGTTCCTTATAGATTCTTATTAGACCTTTGTCAGATGCATAGTTTGCAAATATTTTCTCCCATTCTGTAGGTTGTCTGTTTACTCTTTTAATAGTTTCTTTTGCTGTGCAAAAGCTCTTTAGTTTATTTGGGTCCCGTTTGTCAATTTCTGTTTTTGTAAAAATTGCTTTTGGTGTCTTCCTCATGAAATTTGCCTGGTCCTATATCCAGAAAGGTATTTCCTAGGTTATCTTCCAGGGTTTTTATAGTTTCAGGTTTGATATTTAATCCATCTTGAGTTGATTTTTGTTTATGGTGTAAGGAAGGGGTAAAATAAGATTCTTGAGCAAACTGAAAACACATTTATGTGCTTTTAAGTTTATAGTTCATTCATTCATTTGAAAAGCATCTGAAGGCCAGGTGCAGTGGCTCCCTGCAATCCCAGCATTTTTGGAGGCTGAGGCAGGAGGGTCGCTTGGACCCAGGATTTTAAGACCAGCCTAGGCAACATAGGGAGACCTTGTCTCTACAAGAAAAAAAAAAAATTTAATTAGATGGGCAGAGTGAGCATAGTGGCATGTACCTATAGTCCCAGCTACTCAGGAGGCTGAGGTTGAAGGATTGCTTCAGGCTGGGAGGTCAACGTTGCAGTGAATCATGATTATGCCACTGCACTCCAGTGCAACAGAACAAGACCCTGTCTCAAACAAAAAGAAGGAAGAAAGAAAAAAAAAGAAAAGGGAAGGAAAGGGAAAGAGAGAGAGAGACAGAGAAAGGCAGAAAGAAAGAAAGAAAGAAAGAAAGAAAGAAAGAAAGAAAGAAAGAAAGAAAGAAAGAAAGAAAGAAAGAGAAAGGAAGGAAGGAAGGAAGAAAGGAAGGAAGAAAGAAAAGAGAAAAGAAGGAGGAGGGAGGGAGGGAAGGAAAAGTATCTGAACAAATAAATGCTGTGTGTTGTTCTAAGTTCAGGTGACCTACCTATGAGCCACAAAGGAAAGATGCCTCCTTGGCATCTTGGAGACTACATTTTACTGGAGAAGCCAGACAATACATAAGTAAACAAAAGAGTTTCAGAGGGAAATGAGGGTTAACAAAGAAATAAAGCAGGGTGATATGGCAGAGCGCGATGGGAGTGATGCAACACATAAGGTGATCAAAAACCCCTCCCTGAGCTGAGACACAAATAGCTGAGACACAAACTGACAAGGAGACAGTTACTTGAAAAGCAGGAAGAGTGGGAGGCAGGGCAAAAACATGCTTTGTCAACATGAAGAACAGATGAAGACTAGTGCAATTGAAGTGTGGTGGATTCCTCCCTATTACCAGAGAACAATTTAATACAACGTTGACGAAGCTGAGCCTCTTGGACCCTCACTTTCAGAATCCCTTCAAGAATCTGAAGGACCCCAGCATGTGCTCACATGTTCATATGCCTTTGTAAAATCTGCCAAAGTAAAATACTTAAACCAAATTTGGTTAAGATTTTTGTCAACTCTAACTTCCCCTTCTCATGGTACTGGAGTAGCCGTGAGCAATTTTGGAATCCAAGCTAAACGGAAGATGAGTTGAGGATTTGTTCAGTTTGGGTTTAGTGGAATATATGTATGTGGTTTAATTGCATTCATGTAAAGTTATTGCCACTGCCCATTGAAGAAATGAACAGCTTCCAGTCATACTTCTATCATGTGCCAATTCACCCAGTGTGGAAACATTAACGGGCAGAGGTTTACCACAACACCAACACATTGTAAGATGCAGACACTGTAAGTATTTGGGTAGTGGAGGAGAAATAAAGTTGAAATGTACAGAGCCAGAAGGTAGTCTTTGGAAAACGCTTCTAATCATCAAAAATAAAAAATGTCAGTGAAGGATTCATCTCTTATTAAGGTGTAGTCAAATACAAAGGACTCCCTTTTCAGGAACATGCTAGATAATGGAAGCACACACAATCATAATCACATGATACATTTTTATGGCTATTAGGAGAAATATAATTTATCAGAATTCCTGTTTTGGGGCACAAACCTGCAGCCATGTTACAGTGATGACATCTGTATAGGAAGTTGCATGTTGTGTACAATCCAATGATCAATATTAAAAAACTAATTTTGATAAACCATGCTAGAGGTTAATGTAAAATATGATATTACAAAATTATTGTCATATAAAATATCAGAGAGAGTACTCAACCAAAAAAATAGAGAAAAAAGTATGTCAAATGGTTAATAAAAATACTGTTATTCCAATCTAAATGCCCATCAATGATAGACTGGATAAAGAATATGTGGTACATATACACCATGGAATACCATGCAGCCATAAAAAGGAATGATATCATGTCCTTTGCAAGGACATGGATGGAGCTGGAAGCCATTATCCTCAGCAAACTAACACAGGAACAGAAAACCAAATACCGCACGTTCTCACTTGTCAGTGGGAGCTGAATGATGAGAACATATGGACACGTGGTGGGGGAACAACACACAATGGGGCCTGTCAGATGGGGAGAGCATTAGGAAGAAGAGCTAATGGATGCTGGGCTTAATACCTGGGTGGTGGGATGATCTGTGCAGCAAACTACCATGGCACACGTTTACATATGCAACAAACCTGCACATTCTGCACATGTACCCCCAAAGTTAAACAAAAAGTTGGAAAAAACTACAGTCATGTATCTGAATTTTGTGTATTTTTGCAGCATTGTGTGTTTGTGGTATTTTTCATCTTTTAAAAAACTTGAAATTTTTGTTTTTTTTCTCATTTTAAATAAATATCCAGTTTCATGTTTAATTTTATAATTATAATTTGTATTATTTTTCTTAAAAGCCCTCCACACCACCATTGAATTGTAACAGTTTAGACCCCACAAAGCCTCTATCTACTCTTTCCCAGTTTACTTACAGCAAGGAGGTCCACAGCAGGGAAAAAAGGCAAAACTTATCCAGCTATAAAAAGAGCCATGGTTCAGTCACAGGGCTAGTTTCAGATATATCAGATGCACAGTTGTATCACATGGTGTCCACTGGTTTTAGTTCCAGTTTATTTTGATTTTTTAAATATATGTCACACAAATTAGGAGAGAATTTTGCCTTTTAACAGGGATTAATTTGTGTAATTTTTTCCATAGATAAAATCAACAGTCTTTAGATTATTATTATTTATTTGGCCCTCTTCTGACCTTTTAATTTTCCACATCATTCTTCCTATCCCATCTGTTACTTTATAGCTTTACAAAGTGAATTAAAATGTCTGCTTTGCCCTTAGGCTTCTGGAAGCTAATAATGTTAAACATAAATAACATTTACATTTATAATGTCAAATGAATATTTCAACAGTTGCAACAGTAGTATTTAAAATGTCTAATAACATAACATTACCTGACTTCAAATTATACTACAAGGCTATAGTAGCCAAAACAGCATGGTACTGGTATAAAAGCAGACACATAGATCAATAGAACAGAATGGAGAACCCAGAAATAAAACTACATATTTATAGCTGACTGATCTTTGACTAAATAAACAAGAACATACACTGGGGAAAAGGACACTCTTTTTAATAAATGCCGGTGGGAAAAGGACACTCTTTTTAATAAATGCCAGTGGGAAAATTGGATTGCCATATGCAGAAGAATGAGTCTGGGCTCCTCTCTCTTACCATATACGAAAATCAACTCAAGGTGAATTAAAGACCTGAAACTATAAAAATGCAGAAGAAAACCTAGAAAAAAACTCTTCTGAATATTAAGCTAGGCAAAGAATTCATGACTGAGACCTCAAAAGCACAGGCAACAAAAACAAAAATAGACAAATGGGACTTAATTCAACTAAAAAGCTTCTGCACAGTAAAATAAATAAAGCGAACACACAACCTGTGGAATGGGAGAAAATATCACCAAACTATATATCCAACAAAGGACTAGTATTTAGAATCTATAAGGAACACAACTCAAAAACAATAGCAAATAATAATAATCCCATTTAAAAATGGGCAAAGGGTATGAATAGACATTTTTCAAAAGAAGACATACAAATAGCCACTAGGCATATGAAAAATGCTACACATCACTGATAATCAGAGAAATGCAAATTAAAGCCACAATAAGATATTATCTTACATGAATCAGAATGGCTACTATTAAAAAAACAAAAACAAAAAAATAACAGATATTGGAAAAATGTGGAGAACAGGAAACACTTATACACTGTTGGTGAAAATGTAAATTAGTACAACCTCTGTGGAAAACAATACGGAGATTTCTCAAAGAACTAAAATTAGAACTACTGTTTGATCCAGCAGTCTCACTACTATCTGCCCAAAGGAAACGAAATTATTATATCAAAAAGATACCTGCACCTGTGTGTTTGTTGCAGCACTATTCACAATAGCAAGCGTATAGAATCAACCTAAATGTCCTTTTATGGATGATTGGAATGACTGGAGAAAGAAAATATGTGTGTATGTGTGTGTGTGTACACACACACAATGGAATACTATTGAGCCATAAAAAAACAAGTGAAATTATGTCTTTTACAGCAACATCGATGGAACTGGAGGCCATTATCTCAAGTGAAACAACTCAGACAGAAAGACAAATACTGCATGTTCTCACTTATAGGTGGGAGCTAAATAATGTGTACACATGGACATAAAGTGTGGAATGATAGATAATGGAGACTCAAAAGGGGGAGGGGGTGAGAGGGTGTGGATGATGAGAAATTACTTAATGGGCATGTCACCAGAAAAAGGGGTATGATCCAGATCCCAAGAGAGAGTTCTTGGATCTCATGAAGGAAGGAATTCAAGGTGTCTCAGAGTGCAATGAGGAAAGATAGTTCACTGAAAGCTACTCAGATACATAGTAGGGTGTCCTCAGAAAGCAAGAGGAGTAATGCCTGGTCTTTAAGTTTTTCTTATGTAGAAGTCTTATCTGCGTAAAAGTTAAGCTACCTTTACATGTGGGTGGGCTGACAGCATGCCAAAATTTATTATTTTGCTAACTTAAAAAAAACTATTCTTGCCATTTTAATACATAAGTACATCAAAGCATGACTATAATCATTTTTAAAACATGCATTGTTATGCAATATCACGGCATCTGGATACTTTTTTTGTTGTCATAGGAGTTTGTTCTTGCAGGTATTTTTAAGCTGCTTCTTAGCCACAAACATCTTATGACCACGGGTTGTGACTGGCAAGGAATGTGCCTTGCTTGCTTTAAGTTGAAGTTGATTTTAAAATAGTGTCACCCTGGCTCTCCTATGCTCCCGTTTCTATAACAGGTACAATGTACGTTATTCAGATGATGGATACCTTAAAAACCCTGACTTCACCACTGCATAATATCTGCATATAATAAAATTACACTTGTATCCCATTCATTTACGCAAAGAAAAAAAATACCTAATAAGTAAAATAAATAATGCTAATGCATTCCTGAGTGAAGCTTTATATCAGAGCCAAATTTCTTAAATTGGGAATCACTTTTAACTGACTAAGGCAAAAGCATGATACAAATTGCTACATTTGTTTCACTGAAAGATGTTTTCCAGACTAAACCATACTGTGCTCTCAACAGGTCACAGGCTTGCTATCTACTCTGCCTTCAGAAAGCTGCTTTGACCCAGTCATTCACTTAACAATTGATTATAGGCCAGGTGCGGTGGCTCACGCCTGTAATCCCAGCACTTTGGGAGGCCAAGGCGGGCGGATTACGAGGTCAGGAGATCGAGATCATCCTGGCTAACAATGTGAAACCCCGCCTCTACTAAAAATACAACAAATTAGCCCGGGCATGGTGGCAGGCGCCTGTAGTCCCAGCAACTCGGGAGGTTGAGGCAGGAGAATGGCGTGAACCCGGAAGGCGGAGCTTGCAGTAAGCTGAGATTGTGCCACTGCACTCCAGCCTGGGTGACAGAGCAAGACACTGTCTCAAAAAAAAAAAAAAATTGTTATTTATTTCAGGCATTGTCCTAGGCACAAGGGATATAGAAATTAACAAGTCAGACAAGGTCCAAATCTCCTACAAGCACATATTCCGGTAGGTAGAACAGACGAGAAATACAAATAACCCTATGTTTTGTCACATGGTGGCAAATGCTATGAAGAAAAATAAAGATGTGATATGTGCAGGATCTGGAAACAATTCTTTAAAAAAAAAAGAAAAGAGGCTGGGCACTATGGAGTCACTCCTGTAATTCCAGCACTTTGGGCAACAGAGCAAAACTTCATCCAAAAAAAAAAAGAAATAAAGAAAAGAAAAATAAAGATACGAAGGTGTGGGGAGGGATGTGGTAGAGGAAGGTTGGCTACTCCAAGGAAAGCTATCTGTCATGTGGAGGTGACATTTGACCTGTTTGGTGTTGATGCACTGTTAGGGGTTGTTATAAATTTAAATCATAAAAATATTTTGACCAAACAAGGTGCTGGGTATACATTCTTTACAGAGATAGGACAGGTAGGTATGAGAGCCAAGGCTTGGCATGAATTCAAACCCTAGCTCTGCTGCTGATTTCTGCAGTCTTGGGTGTCACTTGTCTTTCTGAACCTTGATATTCTCCTCTTTTGAGCTTGCTGTGAGTGATAAATAAGATTTTTTAAACATCTGCTTTTTAAAAAAATTTTATTTTAAGTTTTGGGATACATATGCAGGATGTGCAGTTTTGTTACATGAGTAAATATGTGCCATGGTGGTTTGCTGCACCTATCAACCCACCACCTAGGTATTAAGACCTGCATGCATTAGCTATTTATCCTGATGCTCTCCCTCCCCCATACCCCCTACAGCCAGAATGGTGATTATTAAAAAGTCGAGAAACAACAGATGCTGGTAAGGCTGTGGAGAAATAAGAATGCTTTCACACTGTTGGTGGAAATGTAAATTAGTTCAACCATTGTGGAAGAAAGTGTGGCAATTCCTCAGAGATCTAGAGCCAGAAATGCCATTTGACCCAGCAATCCCATTACTGGGTATATACACAAAGGAATATAAATCATTCTACTATAAAGACACATGCATGTGTATGTTCATTGCAGCACTACTCACAATAGCAAAGACTTGGAACAACCCAAATGCCCATCAGCGATAGACTGGATAAAGAAAATGTGGAACATCTGCTTTTTAAACAACTGCCTGACATATAACAACTGCTTAATAAATCTTTCCTTAAACCCTCCCTTTGCTGTCTCAAATGGTCCTCTCTGGATAGAAACAAAGCTGCCTCTGAAGGGGGAAGGATCCCAAGCTAACAGCTGAGAGTTTCTGGAAGGAAATGACTTTTCCTTGTGGGCTAGTGCAGCAGGCTTCCTGCAAAAGTGAGGAATTTCCTAGAAAATTGCTAATTATTACAAGGCAGCCAACAGGCACTGAGCAGGCAGAGTAAAACAGCAACCACTGAGTTTGAAGAGTAAGTGTTCAGCTGACCAGATTTCATTACTCCTCCCAACTCTGTAGCAGGCTTTGGAATTAGGCCTGAGTCTGCCAATAGATCAGGAAAGTCAATGCTCACACCGTGCTGAAATACTGGAGGTATTCCATTTATTTCTGTTGTTATTGTTGTGGTTATTTGTAGTGATGTCACTTTTTGACTCAGAATGGTTTCTCATTCACTCATAGGTTTCTCACAGAACCATCAATTTGTAGAAACATCATCATACCTTTGAATAGAATTATGAAATGAGCAAGGTAACCGTGGCTGAGATTTCATTTCAGCTCTCTTAATCCCCAGCATTTAGAATGGTGCCTGAAACCCACCAGGAGCTCAAAAATATTTGCTGACAAATCAGCTGTCCTATCTCCCAGTTGTAAGTTTTTTCCACTGTATTGTATATCCAGGCTTAATGAAATTGCTAAACCAGATAGGAACTTGGGAGTTTTTTTTCCTGCCCTTCAAGTAGAGGAATCTCTTGAACTTCCAACACGGCCAGTCAACCAATTCTATAGGCCCCAGGCTTTGAGTTAACTGAATGCAATCATGGCCCTTCAGTGAATATGCATGAAATGAAATTGCATAGAATCAAATTCAGTTAAATGGAAACACTAAATGTAGGCTTAAATGAACATATTAAATCTGGTTTAAATTTTATATTTCCAGATTTCAACGTTTATTGACTAACAAGTAGAGTGACAAAAAAACAATAATTCTTACACTTCTAACAATAATTTTCTTAGGCTGGGTGCAGTGGCTCATGTAATCCCAGCACTTTGGGAGGCCAAGGCAGGATCACCTGAGGTGAAGAGTTTGAGACCAGCCTGACCAACATAGAGAAACCCCGACTCTACTAAAATTACAAAAAATAAGCCAGGTGTGGTGGCGCGTGCCTGTAATCCCAGCTACTTGGGAGGTTGAGGTAGGAGAATTGCTTGAACCTGGGAGGTGGAGGTTGCCGTGAGCGCCATTGCACTCCAGCCTGGGCAACAAGAGCGAAACTCTGTCTCAAAAATAATAATAATAATAATTTTCTTTTTGCAATCCTACAGTGATTATAAACATTCAGCCCCACCATGTGTCATTTGCTAAACTTTCTGGGAATAGACGACAACAGGCAGCCAGGCAAGCACATCTCCTGCGGTCATGCTGGAATCAGTGGGAAAGCAAGCCAGACTCTTAAGCCCCTCTGTCCACATCAGTGGCACATAGGAAAAGGTAAAAGGAGGTCACTTAGGCCATTTTCCTAGCAACATATTCAGGGTATTTTCCTGTAGTTTGTTTTCTAGCACTTTGACAAATCTGGCCTTAAATAAAGTATTTCCTTCCATTTTCCTTCTTTCTAACTTGGGTAATTACGCCAGCATCTAAAAGGAAAAATTTGCCTGTCATTCGAAGTACAACTTCCAGATCTCATTTCATTATTTCTAGTTACACTCTTCCTATTACTATCTTTTTATTCCTTTTTCATGTTGATACTAGTAATAATTAAGATTATTGGGAATAAGGCCATCATATATGAAAAATTCCTTCTCTTAAATGATTTAAAATGTCTTTCAAAAATCCTTTCTCTTTTTAAATAAAAGGCAGATTTCTTTATCAAAACATTGATGTGATGTTTGAAAAAGTAATCTGTTCTGCCAAATATCTGTAAAATTTCAAAAAAAGTAAAAATTTTTTGAAAGGCATCCATTAACCTACATGAAAATTTGCACAAATTGACAATTTTAAAATGTAATGTTATTATTATAAGAAAATTTAATTCACAGGTGAAATATGTGAGATACGTTGTTTCTTATGTATATCATTCATGAATGCATTTTAAAAAATCCAATAATCACCCAAATTTAGAAAATCAGTTTGAAAAACAATAAAATCTAGACCAGGTGTGTTACAGTTTTGGAGAAATAAAATGTTTTACAAGAGCATCTAATTTTTTTTAATATGTAAAATTCAACAGAACCATTGCACAAAAAAATTTAAATAAGATTTTGTCTCTTACTCCAATATTTTTCATTAAATACGTAGTTTTTTTTTTTTTTTTAAATGAAAGGAGGGGAGGAGTAGATTAGGTCACTGCAACTTTTTTTCCTATGAAGTACATGTTTTTATTCAAAGTTAAACATGACAGAGACTGACTGTAGGGAAATGTTCAGTCCAAAAACACAATCAGATAATGATCATTGAAACTGATTTTACTTCATTTTTTCCGAATTCATCTTATCCTGCCTTAATAATAAATGAAATCCAGATGTTGGAATGATGCAAGATACTTTGCTTTAGATCTAAAGCAGAGGCATGCTTTCTACTAAGAATAGTGTTCATTTGAAAAACAAACTAGGTTTTTTGAGAAAATTGTTTTGACCAAGGAACTCCTGGCATATAATTTTTTCAGAAGAAGGTCAAACAACATGTAATGTGTTTAATGTAAAAAAAATACATGAGGAAAGATGAGTAAGTAACCACTTTTAATAAATACACTGATTTTTTAAATCGGTAGGCATGACTGATTTGTACCGAAGCATTCATTCACTATGTCCTATTCTCTTTGTAACAAATAATTACACTTTTGCAACAGGGTAGTAAAGGTTACAGAGGCAGTCTAAGACTGAAAAAAAAAAAAAAGAAAGAAACTAATAGGAACCACAAGGAATTATCTCTATAATGGTAAAACTAAACCCTTTGGCATTATTCTTTAACCACAGCATTTGGCTCACCCAATACACAATAATACAGGCAGATACAGTAAGATCTTTCATTGCATCTAGTTATTTGAAAGAAAACAATTAAGTTCAATATATATTTTTAGGTAAATCTGAGAAAAGTTAAATATGAAGTCAATATATTAGATACTGTAGATGCAAACTCTTGGTTCTTTTAAAGTGTTTAAGGTCTAGAGCAAACGTTCGCAAACTATGGCCCAGGGGTCATATGGTCTCTGTGGAAACTATTCTGTGGTCTTAGTGCAAAAGTTGCCATAAGCAATATGTGAATGAATGGGTGTGAATGTATTGCAATAAAACGTTATTTCAAAAAGAGGTAACAGCTATATTTGGCCCCTAAGTTTCAGTTTGTTAACCCCTCAGTTAGACTTTAAAAAAAAGGAGAACTAAAGAAATGAATAACTTTAAAAAGTTCTTTGAAATTCTGTTTCTGGATATTAGGGTGTATTAGTCCATTCTCACACAGCTATAAAGAACTACCTGAGACTGGGTGATTTATGAAGAAAAAAGGTTTAATAGGCTTACAGTTCCACATGGCTGGTGAGGCCTCATGAAACCTACAGTCGTGGCTGAAGGAGAAGGGGGAGCAAGCACATCTTCACATGGTGGCAAGGGAGAGAGAAAGAGTGAAGGGGGAAGTGCTGCACAGTTTCAAACAACCAGATCTTGTGGAAACTCTATCATGAGAACAGCAAGGGGGAGGTCCACCCCCATGATTCAATCACCTCTCACTTTGCAATTCAACATGAGATTTGGGTGGGGACACAGAACCAAACCATATCAAAGGGGATATGTTTCAGCAGAAATAAAAACTCCCACAAAGGAGTACTAGTAAACCTAAGAAGTGCTCAACCAACTAGGGCCAGGTGGTGCCAAGATTCCAAAGAAGGGCAAGAGACTGAGAATATGAGCTTTGCTTAGAGATAGAACTGTGCTGGGAGCAAAGAAATCGGCAAAGCCTTGACCATTTTCGTGGTGTTGGAGCAGTCGTTCTCAACCAAGGGTAGTTTTTCCTCCACAGCACATCTGACAATGTTTGGGGACATTTTTGATTGCCAGGTTAGTGTGGGGGTCGGGGAGTGGGAGGGCGTTCCTACTTGGATTTAATGAGTAGAGGCCAGGGATGCAGCTAAACATCCTACAATGCACACAATGGGCTCACACCACAAATAATGAATTATCTGGCCCAAAATGTCAATAATACTGCAATTGGAAAACTATGGGCTACAAAGACAAAACTGGAGACAAACATACACATGCATCAAGGGGTTTATAATTCTTATTCCTGACTTTGGCTCAGATGTTTTCTCAAACCATTTTGTTAGATTCTTACAGTCTCTGGTGTGAAATGTTTCTGTCCCTATTAAATTCTACACATGAAGTGTTGTGAATCAGCTTCACTCTCCTGGGTTCCAATCCCACACCAGCCACATTCATTCTCAGCAGAACACTTTATCATTTACCTTATGATTTGGTTACAATTATCCTACAAACACTCTTTCTACTTTCTTGTTTTCCACATAACTTCACCCATTGTTTTCCTTAATTATAAAAGAGCATCTCTTCTTTATTAAGGAAATGCCTTATCAGTTCTCTTTCCCCTATTCGAATAAAAATCACTTTTTTTAACCGTGCTTTTTCAGGTTATTCTTTCATCTCCCTCCTTCCTCCTGTTTCCAAAGTTTTGAAAGAGTAGTCAATAAGTACTGCATCTACTTGATTATACCCTAGCATCTGTTTCAGTGACTCTGTAAACACTCTCAGCCAAATCTCAACCATAAAACAAAGATCTTTCTTCAGTCATAACCCTTGACACTGTTTAAAACTTCCTGTGTCCTTCTCTGACACTTACCAACCTGATTCTGTCATCTTTTATTGTCCCTTCACCATCCTACCCACTAAATATGCTCCACAAGATTTTAATGCTTCTTGTTTCAATTATCAAACGTGTCTGTTTCAAATCCACCCTTCCATATTCGGCTTTATGGTGCTTCAGCACAAAAATCTCAAATCGCCTTTCTGCTTTGCCAGCTGCTCTATGTCATGTCTGTCAATAGATGGCACTAGACAGAGAGACTGCATTGCCAGAACAGAGAGAGGAGACTTGCTCCTACCTGCTTCCAGTTCCTACCGCAGTGAGTTCCAGTGGCAGCTGCTGATTCCAGTGCGTAGCTATTCCAACACTTGCAGAACCAGTCTCCTCCAGCCTCCTCCAAGACTCCAGCAATAGCTGTGGCAACCCCCTCCTAAGATGTCTGGCCTGGCCCCACAAATTCCCACCTTCAAATTTCCAAGTTTTATTAATTCCAACATATTCCTTTTGTTCCCTCAGACCTCTGGGGGCAAGGTTTGGGGGAGCTGCTTCTTTGAGTTTCTGCCTTTACGATGCCTTGATATTCATATTTGCTTTTCAATTATTTACTAATAGAGCCAGTAATAAATAGAAATATATATAATGTAGCTATCAGTATCTTACTTATTCAACAGGATATTATTGTAACTTGGCCTGCAAAAAACACGTTTCATCTATAAAGACACACATAGGCTGAAAATGAAGGGATAAAAAAAGATATTCCAAGCTAATGAAAGCCAGAAAAAGAGCAGGATTAGCTATATTTATATCAGACAAAACAGATTTCAAGACAGATACCATAAGAAGAGACAAAGAAGATCACTATATAATGATAAAGGGGTAAATTCAGCAGGAGGCTAAAACAATTGTAAATAAATACATACCCAACACTAGAGCACGCACCCGGATATATAAAGCAAATATTACTAGAGCTAACGAGACAGACAGATCGAAATACAACAATAGCTGGAGACTTCAACACCCTACTTTCAGCATCAGACAGATCTTTCAGACAGAAAATCAACAAAGAAACATCAGACTTAATCTGCACCATAGGCTAAATGGACCTAATAGATATTTACAGAACATTTCATCCAACGGCTGCAGAATACACATTCTTTTCCTCAGCACATGGATCATTCTCAAGGATAGACCATATGTTCGGTTATAAAACAAGTCTTTAAAAAATTTAAAATAGTATCAAGCATCTTCTCCGACCACAATGGAATAAAATCAATAATAAGAGGAATTTTAGAAACTGTACAAACACATGGAAATTAAACAATGCTCTCCTGAAAAATTGGTGGGCCAATAAAGAAACTAAGAAAGAAATTTAAACATTTCTTGAAACAAATAATAATGGAAGTACAACATTCCAAAATCTATGGAATACAGCAAAAGCAGTACTAAGAGGAAAGTTTATAGCTATAACTGCCCACATCAGAAAAGAAGAAAAACTTCAAATAAACAAGCTAGTGATGCGTCTTAAATAACTGGAAAAACAAGAGCAAACCAAACCCAAAATTAGTCGAAGAAAAGAAATAATAAAGATCAGAGCATAAATAAATAAAATTGGAATGAAGAAAACAGTACAAAAGATCAATGAAGCAAAGATGGGCACAGTGGCTCATGCCTGTAATCCCAGCATTTTGGGAGGCTGAAGCGGGTGGATTACCTCAGAAATTTGAGACCAGCCTGGTCAACATGGAAAAACCCCTTCTCTATTAAAAACGCAAAAATTAACCGGGTGTGATGGCTTGCGCCTGTAGTCCCAGCTACTGGGAAGACTGAGGCAGGAGAATTGCTTGAACCTGGGAGGTGGAGGTTGCAGTGAGCCAGGATCACGCCACTGCACTCCAGCATGGGTGATGGAGCAAGGCTCTATCTCAAAAAAAAAAGATAAATGAAACAAAAAGTTGATTTTTTGAAAAGTTAAGCAAAATTGACAAACATTAGCAGAGTAAGAAAAAAGAGAGAAGACCCAAATAAATAAAATCAGAGATGAAAAAGGAGACATTACCAAATGATACTGCAGAAATTCAAAGGATTATTAGTGACTACTATAAGCAACTATATGACAATAAATTGGAAAATCTAGAAAAAATGGATAATTTCCTAGACACATACAACCTACCAAGATTGAACCAAGAAGAAATCCAAACCCTGAACAGACCAATAACAAATAACAAGATTGAAGCCATAATAAAAAGTCCTCCAGCAAACAAAAGATCGGGGCCTGAAGCCTTCACTGCTGAAGTCTATCAAACATTTAAAGGACAAATACAAATCCTACTCAAACTATTCCGAAAAATAGAGGAGAAGGGAGTACTTCCACAATCAATCTATGAGGCCAGTATTGCCCTGATATCAAAACCAGACAAATACACATTTGAAAAAAGAAAAGAAAAAGTCCGGGTGCAGGGGCTCACGCCTATAATCCCAGCACTTTGGAAGGCTAAGGCAGGTGGGTCACGAGGTCAGGAGTTCCAGAGCAGCCTGGCCAAGATGGTGAAATCCCGTCTCTACAAAAAATACAAAAATTAGCCAGGTGAGGTGGCGGGAGCCTGTAATCCCAGCTACTCGGGAGGCTGAGGCAGGAGAATCGCTTGAACCCAGGATGCGGAGGTTGCAGTAAGCCGAGATCATGCCACTGCACTCTAGCCTGGGCGACAGAGCAAGATTCCATTTCAAAAAAGCAAAAGAAAAAAAAAAGAAAGAAAGAAAGAAAAGAAAACTACAAGCCAATATCACTGATGAAAATTGATGCAAAAATTCCCAACAAAATACTAGCAAACTGAATTCAAACACACATTAAAAAGATCATTCATCATGACCAAATGGGATTTATTGCAAGGATGCAAGGAATGGTTCAACATATGCAAATCAATCAATGCAGTATATCATATCAGCAGAATGAAGGATAAAAATAATATGATCATTTCAATTGATGCTGAAAAAGCATTTGATACAATTCAACATCCCTTCATGATAAAAACTCTCAAAAAACTGGGGATAGGAGGTATGTACCTCAACATAATAAAAGCTATGTATGATAGATCCATAGCTAGTATCATACTGAATGGGGAAAAATTGAAGGTCTTTCCTCTAAGATCTGGAACACCACAAGGATGCCCACTGTCACCACTGTTATTCAACATAGTACTGGAAGTCCTAGCTAGAGCAATCAGACAAGAGAAATAAAGAGCATCCATACTGGAAGGGAAGAAGTCAAATTATCCTTGTTTCAGATGATATGATCTAATACTTGGAAAAAACTAGACTCCACCAAAATCTATTAGAACTGATAAACAAATTTGGTAAAGTTGCAGGATACAAAATCAACATACAAATATCAGTAGCATTTTATATGCCAACAGCAAACAAAATGAAAAAGAAATCAAGAAAATAATCTCATTTACAATAGCTACAAATAAAATACCTAGCAATCAACCAAAAAAGTGAAAGATCTCTACAATGAAAACTATAAGACATTGATGCAAGAAATTGAAGAGGACACACCAAAAAAATGGAAAGATATTCCATGTTCATGGATTGGAAGAATCAATATTGTTAAAATGTCCATACTACCTGAAGCAATCTACAGATTTAATGCAATCGCTATTGAATATCAATAACATTTTCCACAGAAATAGAAAAAAAAATCCTAAAATTTATATGGAACCACAAAAGACCCAGAATAGCCAAAGCTATCCTGAGCAGAAAGAACAAAACTGGAGGAATCACATTACCTGACTTCAAATTACACTACAGAGCTGTAGTAATCATAACTACATGGTATTGGCACAAAAATAGACACATACACCAGTAGAATATAACAGAGAAGCCATAATAAATCCATACATCTACAGTGAACTCATTTTCGACAAAGGTGTCAAGAACATACATTGGGGAAAGGACAGACTCTTCAATAAATGGTGCTGGGGAAACTGGATATCCATATGCAGAAGAAAGAAACTAGACCTGTATCTCTCACCTTACACCAAAATCAAATCAAAATGTATTTTAAAGACTTAAATCTAAGAGCTCAGCCAGGTGCAGTGGCTCACAACTGTAATCCCAGCACTTTGGGAGGCTGAGGCCGGCAGAACACAAGGTCAGGAGATCAAGGCCATCGTGGCTAACATGGTGAAACCCTGCCTCTACTAAAAATACAAATAAAATAAAATAAAATAAAAAATTAGCCGGGTGTGGTGGCGGGTGCCTGTAGTCCCAGCTACTCAGGAGGCTGAGGCAGGATAATTGCTTGAACCTGGGAGGTGGAGGTTGCAGTGAGTCGAGATCGCACTCCAGCCTGGGTGACAGAGTGAGACTCCATCTCAAAAAAACTAAGAGCTCAGACTATGAAACTGTTTAAAGAAAACATTGGGGAAACTCTCCAGGACATTGGAGTGGGCAAAGATTTCTTAAGTAATGCCTGGCAGGCACAGGCAACCAAAACAAAAATAGACAAATGAGATCATATAAGTTAAAAAACTACTGCACAGCAAAGGAAACAGTCAACAAAGTGAAGAGACAACCTATGGAATGGAAGAAAATATTTACTAACTACCCATCTGACAAGGGATTAATAACCAGAATATGTTAGAAGCTAAAACAACTCTATAGGAAAAAAAATAGAATAATCTGATTTTAAAAATAGTCAGGCTGGGCACAGTGCCTCATGTCTGTAATTCCAGCACTTTGGGATGCCGAGGCAAGTGGGTCACGAGGTCAAGAGATCGAAACCATCCTGACCAACATGGTGAAATTCTGTATCTACTAAAAATACAAAAAATTAGCTGCACTTGGTGGCATGCACCTGTAGTCTCAGCTACTAGGGTGGCTGAAGCAGGGGGATTTCTTGAACCCAGGAGGCTGAGGTTGCAGTGAGCCAAGATCACGCCACTGCACTCCAGCCTGGCAACAGAGTGAGACTCCATCTCAAAAAAAAAAAACAAAAAAAAAGGCAAAAGAGGCCAGGCAGTGTGGCTCACACCTATAATCCCAGAAATTTAGGAGACCAAGGCAAGTGCATCTTTTGAGCCCAGGAGTTTGAGACCACCCTGGGCAACATGGCAAAACCCCATCTCTACAAAAAACACAAAAAGTAGCCAGGTGTGGTGGTGCACGCCTGTAGTCCCAGCTATTCAGGAGGCTGAGGTGGGAGGCTCACTGGAGCCTGAGAGGTCGAGGCTGCAGTGAGCTGTGATCATGCCACTACACTCCAGCCTGGGCGACAGAGTGAGACCCTGTCTCAACAAAAAGTGAAGTGGCGGGGGGGTTGTGCACAAAAGATATGAATAGACATTTCTCAAAAGAAGACATACAAATGGCGTGAAAAGGTGTTTAATGTTATTGATCATCAGAGAAATGCATATCAAAACTACAATATCATTTCACACCAGTTAAAATGGCTTTTATCCAAAAGACGGGCAGTCACAAATGCTGACAAGGATATGGAGAAAAGGAAACCCTCGTACACTGTTGGTGGGAACGCAATTAGTACAACCACTATTGAGAACAGTCTGGAGGTCCTCATAAAACTAAAAATAGAGCTACCAGATGATCTAGCAATTTCACTCCTAGGTATACATCCAAAAGAAAGGAAATCAGTATATCAAAGAGAGATCTGCACTCTCATGTTTATTGCAGCACTATTCACAATAGCCAAAATTTGGAAGCAATGTTTGAAGGGCGCATCAACCAATGAATGGATAAATAAAATGAGGTATGTATACACAATGGAGTACTATTCAGCCGTAGAAAAGAATGAAATCCAGTCATTTGCAATGACATGGATGGAACTGGAGGTCATGAAATAAGCCAGGCACAGAAAGATAAACATTGCATGTTATCACTTATCTGTGGGAGCTAAAACTTAAAACAATTGAGCTAATGGAGACAAAGAGTAGAAGGATGGTTACCAGAGGCTGGGAAGGGTAGTGGCAGGGGGTTGGCTGGAGGTGGGCATGGTTAATGGGTACAAAAAAGTAGTTAGATATAATGAATAAGACCTGGTATTTGCTAGTATGACAAGGTGACTAGAGTAAAAAATAATTTAGTCGCACTTTTAAAAATAATTAAAGAGTAGAATTGGATCATTTGAAACACAAAGGATAAATGCTTGAGGTGAGAGATACCCCATTTACCCTGATGTGATTATTATGCATTACATGCCTATATCAAAATATCTCATGTAACCCATAAATATATACACCTATTATGTACCCACAAAAATTAAAAATTAAAGATTTAATTTAAAAAAATTTAAAAATAATGTAACTTGCTTTTATCTTAGAACATTTTTGAGCTTACTTTTCCTCTAGTCGACACAAAGGATGTATGGAAATTTGCTGTTGATTTAGCACATTGATACTAAACATGGATAAAGAATCTAACATTATCTTTGGTGTCGATAAAAGCCTAGACTCATCTGGAATCTTTCCATGCTCATGGATGTGTCCATGTTATAAGATGCCAAAACTTTAAGACTTGGCCTCTAAGATTTCATTGAAAGCCAAGTTCACCCTCCCATGCTTCTAGATAACGCCTCCACTACTTATCATGGGATGTGGGTGGTTATGATGTGGGGGCAGGATGGATATAAAACTTGGAGAAGTTTGAAAGGTTGGATGAGAAAGAGTATTTTAGTGACTTACATATTAACTTTGATGAAGTAAGCACCTTAGGCTAAAATAAGGACACCCATAACCTTTGTCTCAGATGCAGTAGGCATTTTGCAATAATAAAAACTAACATTTGCTCATTCTAGATTTTTTATGTTTTATATTATCCCCAAGTCATCCAGGAAACATGGCTATTCAAAGAAAGCTTCCAGGTGTGGTAATATCATAGGGGAACCTGTCCTATGGTGAGTTGTGAGGCCATTGAAAAAGGAGGGAAGAATGGAAAGCCCTGAGACAGGTGCCCTCACACTGGCTCTGATTTACCCCTGTTGTTCTGTGTCTTTAGGCCTACATCCTGGAGTGGCAGGCCTTCATAGAGAAAGGGATTTTTAAGCTTAGACACGGGAAGGCTAGAAACACATAAAATCTGCCACCAAAATAAAAGAACAAAACAGGAATCCATCAGCGTTTCTAGGCCTGCTAGCCATATCAGAAATTGTGAGGTGATAACATGCATTAAAGTGTTGAAAGTTCCCTTTAATTTTATAATTCTCTTAGTCTGATTATTATTTTCAAGACTCCCTCACAATAAATAACAGTAAAACTTAAATGAAAAGTGTCTAATGTACTTGTTTTCAGGGCAGCAAGGAAGTGGGGAGGTGGAGAGACCCTATCTTCCCTGTTACATACCCAGATTTAGCCAAAGGCCAGCAAGCAATAGAGAAGATGTCACCATCTAGGGCCAGGCAGTGTCACCATCTTCTCTAATGAAGGAGGATTGTAAAGGAGGCTACAGCCCTAAGGCCTGTACAGCAGGGAAGAAAGGAATATAAAGAGAACCAACGTAGAATCAAGAATGGACCCTGAGAACTTAACGGCCAGAAAGCCCTGTGTTTTTCAATAACATGAAAGCAGAAAGTGCAAGTGAAGCAAGAGAAATGCAAGGTAAACAAGGCATGACTAACACTTCTTGATTCCTGCAATCTCACTGTGTACTATTTTTACCAAAATTATTTTTTGTAAAGATAGCCAAGAATCCCCTTTAAAAAGCCATTCACTTTCCTTATAATAAATAAAATACTTTAAATGTATCTAAATGGTCAAAGCTATTCAAATAAATGATACTTCTAGAAAAATCTACATGACCCTCTTAGTACGAGAGCGTTCTACTCTATTAGAAATTAAGTACAAACTTAAACTTTACAGTGAATTTCAGAGCTTTTCTTTTAACTAATTTTCATGTTATGTTAATCTGTGAAAAAACTCTAAATGTTAGTAATTTCACAGATTACTTACGGTTTGATTTTTTTAAAAAAAATTCTGTCTTGTTTCAGTGAACCATATGCTCTGTGTGGTTCTTTACTGGCAAGTATAGAAATTTTTTCATCAAAGGCTTTTCCTGACAAATGCAATCCATCTACTATTAATTTACAGTGTCTTTGCTAGCCTTTGAGGTTATCATTTATTTGTATGTTAGACAATATGTACAGCTATTACCTTTGTCCTGTCCTCAGTTTAATATGGTCATCATTTTACGAAGTTTCTCGGGGAATGGTGTTGCTGTACGTGGCTGGATATGCCCTACTACTAATAATTTCCCAAAATGAAGAATTTCCCCACATTTAGTGTTTCTTTTGCACTTCTTTGTTAAATTATTCCGTGCCTTCAATACAGAAGATAAGAGAATAAATACTTACCTGTATTTTGTGTTTTTAGTGTTTGGAAAAGGGTTACAGCATTCATGGATGATAGATCCTGTGGCAATTGCTGAGTTTAATACACTATCATCATATAAGTAGCTTGATTATATATTTATTAATAAATTATTTTGATGCCAATATTTTCTTTTAAATTATAAATATAAAAGTCTATACTGTGGGCTATACTTATAAAGAATACATTTATGAATAAAGAGCTTTTATTGATGTTTTAAAAGCAAAGTAAATTCATATTCTTTACTTAAAATACCATACAGAATGAAAAGAAAGAGAGAACGTCCATTATTTCTATTCAATTGAAGGTTCTTTGCATTTTTCTTCCTCTTACCAACAATAGAAGAAGAAACACTATTTTTAAAAATATAGGCCAGGTGTGGCTCACGCCTGTAATCCCAGCACTTTGGGACACCAAGGCAAGCAGATCGCTTGAGCCCAGGAGTTCGGGACCAGCCTGGGCAACATCAGGAGATGCCATCTACAAAAAATAAAATAATTAGCCAAGTGTGATGATATGTGCCTGTGGTCCCAGCTACTCAGGAGGCAGAGGTGGAAGGATGACTTGAGATTGAGGCTGCAGTGAGCACTTCAGCCTGGGCAACAGAGCGAGACCCTGTCTCAAAAAAAAGTCAATAAACATAAAATAAAATGAAATAAAATAAAATAAAATAGCATATATATTCGAAATAATAATCTGGAGTAATTTATGTGCATTCCACTATAAACCATGGCTTAGTGCGAAGTTTTGCTGGTAAGGAGGCCTTCATTATCCTCTGTTAGGTTTTATAATCCCCCCTAATAAATCTGTATGTATCTCAAAACTAGTATGCATAAACTCCAATGAACAAGAAGATATTGGGTTACTTACTTCAAAAAATAATTATTGAGAGCCAACAATGTATTTAACCCTATTAGATGATAACAATAACTAAAGAGATAATTCATTTGATAGGACATTTTCTGAGCACCGAATATGTTACTTGCACACAGTGCTAGGCACTTAGGATAAAGCTGAAAAAATATATATGGCTCCTACCCTCAAATGACTCGCTGACTAGCTGTGGGGCCAGGTATAAATGCAAATCACAATATACCATACAACATGGGCTAGAAGAGAAGTATAATAGATCCACTATGTTATGGTATCCCAGAAGATAAACAAAGAATTTTTCTGGGAGTTCTGATGAGAAGGCTGCTTATGAAACACTGCCAAGAGAAGAAATTATATTTGAGCTGGATTTTATAGACAGAAAAAGAAAAAGGGAAAAAGAAAGAGAAAGAGGGAGAGAGATCTGAGTGCTGCCTGCACAAGTATATATGTGTGCAAGAAATCATTAAGTTGTAAGTCTGGGGGGCTTTATGTAAGTTATATCTCTAAAGAAATAATCAATAGACAGTAAAAATGATATAGACAATAATTATTGTTATGACATCTTCACCTACTTCAATCAGTTTCTTAGTCATAAACATCTCTAATATCATGTCACTGACATTTTCCTGAAAAATATTTTATTTTACTATAGTCTAATTATTTTGTATGGCTTCACAAAGTTACTGGCAATATTTAAAGTGGCATTTTAATGGTTAATGTATTTGAAATTATTGACACCTTCAATTGATTATTCTCTTTCAATGAAACTACATTTAATATGAAAATATTCTCTCTACAGTTGTGCGATATCTACTCAGATAAAAAGTAATCCTAAATTGAGAATATTCTCAATTATGATTGCTTTGTATTGAAAAATACTAATATCTCAGTTAAAATATTTTCACAATTACTGTCTTTTTGCCTCCATTGAGAGTAATTATTTCAATAAATAATTCGTCAAGCAAATTGTCTGTGAGATTCTTTTGAATGCTTACCAAATTTAGATTCTCTTAAATTTCATTCTATTTCAGCACAGAGAATTTTTTCCAACTAAAAATAGAAGATTTATCAAAAGATTCTTTTAATGAGTCAAAATATTCCAAAGATCTACCATCAAATTTCAAAGTCAAATTTTGCCCATCACTTGAACCTTATTTAATGTGTTATCTTTTTTTTTTTTTGCTTTAGTAAAAATAAATTGGAACGTCATCCTGTTTGCAAATATTGTTGTCATTCATTGCAACTTGCTAAACACTTCACTAGCTGAATCTGGGCACTCTATTTACTGACAGTTTTGATTTTGAACACTTGCAAGTGAGTTTGATATTATCATATAACACTTAGCTCCATTTACAAAAATGTTAAGGGCTCAAGCATTTTAAATTTGATTAATAATGAGTAGTAAAGGAGAAAGTACCTACTTCTGTGCTGCATCTGAATTATTTTTTATTTCAAAATTAGGTGTATACAAATTATATAGTTCAATTACTCTGTGTGTATGTACAAAGTATTTATAAAATTTGACAACTATAACTTCAATTTCAGTTGTTAGCTCTTTCAGGATGCCATTATGCATTTTTTGATGTACCACAACCAATTATAAGCATAATTCCTCCTTTATATGTTTGTTAATTTGGTGGAATATTGTTTTTATAATGACAAGATGTTTCACTAAAATTCGTATTGATTTTATTGCTGCAGAAGCAAATAATTTTATCTTCAATGCTGAACTTTTAAAGTAAATTTACAATGGCTTTAACAATAGTATCAGCTGTTTCTTGACAGAATGAAATTAAACTAGTTTTACTTTGATTCCTTGATTCATATAGAAAAAAAATTGAACTATTTTGAATTGGCTGGTTTTCTATTTGCAGCATCTAATATGTTGCTATAAAATTCTTATCATTTAACAATTTGTGAAGTTATTCTATTAATGGAACCAATAAAATGATAGCTATTGCTTTACTTTTTATATGTTTACAAGAAAACTTGGGCTCTGAAATCAACAAATGGAAAGTCATGCTTCACAGAGTGACATGTAAATACACTTTCTGCAGCTGTACATGTTAAATCATGATCTCTGGGCAGGTACAATTATCTTAAGGTAACATTAACTTCTGAAGCAGATTCTTTGTTTTTTGTGTAATTAGCAGTTATGTTCCATTGCTGGATGGGAAATTTCAACATTTTTCTAAGTGACACTTTTATCATTAGCTTTTTGGAGAAACAGAAACTCAGTACTTAATTTTTCACTAAATATTCTTAGCTTTTGGTTCATTGCTGCCAGGAGAGTTTATTGCATTTTTTTAAAAAAGCATTGACAACAAAATAACATATGAAAGGTTTACACCATAGGATAGTCACAAAATGGCTATTGCAATAGCGTCAGACCACTCTCTGTACAAAGTATGGTATCCAGCCTCTTTCCTGCACATATTCCATGTACACCTAATCTGTAATTTCCCACATTTCCCCATGACACTGCTAATTGGCAGCCTGGTAGCCTGGCAGCTTCTTACATATTGAGTCTTGCAGCACAGGCCATGGCATAATTGGCTACAATGCCAAGACTGTAGGAGGCAATGATGTTGAATACTTCTCCCGCTACCCCTAAGACCAGAAGGATTTAACTCACCCTAGCCACTTGAGTCCAAATGTACATTGTTTTACCAGTTATGACTCTGCATACTGTCCTGAACAGGAGGCATTAATTATTCTGCAGTTAGAAAAGTTCTAAACTAGAGAGATAGGCTTATCTCTGTCTTTATATGGGTTAAGATGAGAGTTCTGTTTTCTGAACCATAGTCTCACACTTCTGGGTGAACCTAGAATAGAAATTGCAATTGCCAAGTTTAGGTCCATCAAATTCATGCCGACATTTTGTTGCAATGCTTAATACTACTTATTTAAATCAGGAGGGGGGGAAATATCCTAAATTTGATGGTATATGAAGAGAATAAACATAAGTGGGGATCATCTTGGGCAAACTGGGTCATAATGAAACACTTACAGCAGTTTAAATTCACAATGGAAATAAATTCAATTCAAATCTACAAACATCTGTTGAGAACCTACTAAGCCCCAGAACTTTTGCTATGAGCTGAAAGGAAAATACAAATAGGAATGAAGTCAACTTCCTCCTCTTATCTCTAGGTTCCTCAGGAGAATGGCATGACATTTTCTTGAAAATTAACGAAGTGATCCTCTTACATCAAAGAAAAAAACTCTTGTGTTTCTTGCCAATGATAAAACTTGAGCTTTCAAGTAAAAATATGAATTTGGAAAAGTTGTGTCTGCCACTGTGAGCTTGACAATTTCTTAATATTTAAAAGCTTTTCTGATGAAATTGATGGTAATATTAACAAAATGTAATAATGAAACATGTCAACATTTGGAGGACTTGAATAACCCAGAAAATCAATGTTTTTAAATTTAACTTTTAAGTTCAGGGGTACTTGTGTAGGTTTGTTATATAGGTAAACTTGTGTAATGGGGTTTGTTGTACAGATTATTTTGTCACTCCGGTATTAAGCCTAGTACCCATTAGTTATTTTTCCTGATTCTCTCCCTCCTCCCACCCTCCAGCCTCCAATAGGCCCCAGTGTGTGTTGTTCCCCTCTATGTGTCCATGTGTTCTCATCATTTAGCTCCCACTTATAAGAACATGTGGTATTTGGTTTTCTGTTCCTGTGTTAGTTTGCTGAGGATAATGGCCTCCAGATTCATCCATGTCCCTGCAAAAGACATGATACTGTTCTTTTTTTATGGCTGCAATAGTATTCCATGGTGTATATGTACCACATTTTCTTTATCCAATCTGTCACTGATGGGCATTTAGGTTGATTCTATGTCTTTGCTATTGCGAATACTGCTGTAATGAACATACGTGTGCGTGTTTCTTTATGATAGAATGATTTATATTCCTTTGTATATATACTCAGTAATGAGATTGCTGGGTCAAGTGGTATTTCTGTCTTTAGGTCTTTGAGGAATCACCACACTGTCTTCCACAATGGTTGAACTAATTTACACTCCCACAGACAATGTATAAACGTTCCTTTTTCTCCACAATCTCTCCAGGATCTGTTATTTTTTCTCTTTAACAACAGCCATTCTGACTAGTGTGAGATGGCAGCTCATTGTGGTTTTGATTTGCATTTCCCTAATGGTCCGTGATATTGAGCTTTTTTTATACGGCAAATCAATATTTTCTAAGTGACAAATGTGTGATGTTGCAAAATCATTCAAATTCACCAAATTGTATGATAGACCAATGAATTTTAATATAACAGTTAGAAAACTTTCTTGCTATGGTTTCAGATTCCACATTGCAATTAACCTCTAGGGAAAAAAAAAACTCTTGCTGAGTTTTGGTGTGGTATCAAAGAATATCCACAGTTTTCTGAAAAGACTATTAAAATATGCCCTTTCCCCCACCAACTACATCCCTGTATGAGAGTGGATTTTTTTTCCATACTTCCACCAAAATGGTACATCACAATAGATTGAATATAGAGGTGGTTATGATAATCCAGCTGTGTTCTATTAAGCAAGACATTAAAGAGATTTGAAAAAATGTAAAATAATGCCACTATTCTCACTACATTTTTCTGTTTTAAAAAATACAGTATTTTTAATCAAAATGTTACTTACATTGACATGCAATGACATTATTGCTATTTTAAATAAGTTAATAAATATTGTAACAATGAGTTTTAATTGTTTTATTCCATAATATCGATAGCTATATCTTATATAAGCAAAAGCACAAAACTCTTTGGGATCCTCAATCTTCGTTTTTGTTTTTTGTTTTTTTTTGAGATGGAGTTTTGCTCTTGTTGCCCAGGCTGGAGTGCAATGGTGCAATCTCGGCTCACCGCAACCTCTGCCTCCCAGGTTCAAGCGATTCTCCTGCCTCAGCCTCCCAAGTAGCTGGGATTATAGGCATGCACCACCACGCCAGGCTAATTTTGTATTTTTAGTAGAGACGGGGTTTCTCCGTGTTGGTCAGACTGGTCAATCCTCAATCATTTTTAAGAATGTCAAGGGTTCCTGAGACCAAAAAGTTGTTGAAAGACTGTCTTAAATAATGTAATTGTATTCAATTTCATGATGCTGGGGTTACTAGGACAATGTGAGGAAGAAAGATCGTGATAACAGTCAGGAAAGTTCTGACGAAAGACCTGGTATTCCACTAAGACTCTGAAAAGTGAGTAGGATTTTAAAACTCCTTTTGAAAAGATGAAAGGTATGAGTAAAAGCTGAGAAACAGTGAAGCACCTGATATTCGCAGGCAATAATGAGTAATGAGTTCAGGTGATTGAAATATAAAGAGGACACCATTCATCTCTGCTTCTCTTCCTACCTGTGTAACCATTCCTCTTGTCTCATCTCTTTTGTGGGAGGCTTTTCTTCCTTTCTCATTCCTCAAATATTGATGCTTCCTGCAGTTCTGTCCTTGGATCTCTCTTCTCACTCTATATGACAGTCTCCCTCACCAATCTGATCCATCCTCAAGATTGGAGCTTCGCTTCCGAGTTGCCGAATTCAGATCTTTACTTCACCTTCTCTCCTGAGCTCCAGAGCAACATGTTCTGAATATTTTGAAGGCAACAAATTGAAAGTGAAACAAACGTTTTCCTGCAAAGCACTCTCTTCCTGTATCCTCTTTCTTGGCCCCTCCCCACCCAGCACATCACCTTAGTTTCCATTCTCACCTTCCTCCACCTCATACATTCAATTGGATGGCCCTCTATTAACACTGTTCCTTGTTTTTTTTTCTATATTATCGTGCTGTTTTCTTAGTTCTTTTTGCCCTAGTCTCACAAGCTTCCATTCCATCCTCTACATTGCTGCCAAAACCAATAGTACAAAAGCAACAGATCATGCTGTTTTCCTGTTTTGAAACCTTTTGATGCCTCCCTCCAGGATAAATCACTAACACCTCAATGGTACTTAAACTGCCATTCATTATCTGGCCCTTGATTACATCTTCATACTGTTGCTTGGTGGGGCCCCTCCTCAGCCATGACAAACATGTTCCTTGCTCCTGCCATATCAAAAAGCTTGCAGTTCCCCCTAGATCTCCAGGTTGCTTTACATTTCTATGCTCTTGTTTAGGTGCTTTCTCTTCCAGGAATGCCCTTTCCTGCTCTACCAACAAAGAATAACAATCACTTTCCGGATTGTTCTCAAGATGTTTTCTCTAAGAACCCATCTCTTCACTTTGGGTTAAACAGTATATTTAACTTATTTTAATACAAACATCTTGAAAATGATTACAAAATGTCCTCAATTTAGGAAGATTCCACAAAAGTGATACAGTTAATAAAAATCATACTTTGAATTTTGAATTTTGATTTTTTCCCAGAGTGCGATACACAGTGTAATGCTACTCTCTTGCAGGATGTTGGGCAGTGGCAGTAAGTTGCAGCTCCCAGTTAGCCAAATGATCTTGAGGTTAAACACCCTGTAATATACAGTGTACTGTGCTGCTAGATGATTTTGCCCAACTTTAGGCTAATACAAGTGTTCTGAGCACATTTAAGGTAAATTAGGCTAAGCTATGTTTGATAGATTAGTTGTCTTAAATGCATTTTTGACTTATGATATTTTCAACTTACAATGGATTTATCATGACATAGCCCCATCTTAAGTCAAGGAGTGCCTGTATTTGCATTTGAAATCTATTTCTAATACTATTTTAATCCACTTCTCCTCTCTACACCCAGAGAAGATGAATTCTCCTTCCAAGCACAAAATACTACGGTATGAGGCATTTTATGTAGACTCACATTATGTTAAATAAAGAGCAAAGAAAACCCAAATGTCTCACAGAAAGTACCAAATTTGGTATTTCTTCTTACATTCCAACATATAACCTGGCAAACAAAGAGTTAGGGTTTATAAAACACAAGTCCAGTATACAAAGCATGTATTATGCCCTTTAAAAACTTGTTTCACAAATTATTTAATATTGCTAGAATTCCTTGAATATTATGCAAATTTAGTTGTTTTTTTTTTTTTAAGAGATTTGACATTTCTTTAACAGGGATGTTGTTTTGTGAGGTTTCTTTCCCCAGAGCCAACTTTCTAGTCTTTTATTTTAACATAGCTGGTCATTCACAGTTCTTTTGAAAAAGGATTAAAATTCTTAAGACCAACATCATGGCCCTATTTGCCATCCCCTGAATTCAAGTGATATCAGTGTTAGTTACAGATAAGCCTGCCAGAGACTTACTTCATGATTGGCTCAAATCCCCATAATCAGTGAGCCCTTGCAGTTTTCAGTGAAAAGTATAGAAACTTGGAAGTGTGTTTTATGAAAAGGGTGTTTTAGAAAAAATGGGATATTCTTAGTTTATAAAGCACCTTCAATTAATTTATCTACACATGACATTGCATATGAACTCGTAGTGATCTAAACTTCATTAGGTTTTCTAATTCTAGTACTAAAAATAATCTATAAGAAGAATTTTGTCAAATAAAAGATTTATAATAAGTGATATAAGCAAGGAGGTTGTTCTCATACTTAAATCCTCATTGTGCTCTGTTTTCCTGGTCTTAAAGGCAGAATGCTGGCACAATATTCTTAGTAAGGTGCCTAGAGATCACATCAATAGGTGTTGCCTAAACACAGAGCCAGAGATAACTTGTTCAAGGCAAATTTGGGCCACGTACAGTGGTTCACGCCTGTAATCCCAACACTCCGGGAGACAGTGGTGGGAGATCACTTGAGCCCAGGAGTTTGAGACAAGCCTGGGTAACATGGCGAGACCCCAGCTCTACAGAAAATTTTTAAAAATTAGCTGGGCGTGGTGTTGCGCACCTGTGGTCCCAGCTACTTGGGAGGCTGAGGTGTGAGGACTGCTTGAGCCCAGGTGGTAGAGGCTGCAGTAAGCCGTGTTCATGCCACTGTACTCCAGCCTGGGCAACACAGCAAGACCCTGTCTCAAAAAAAAAAAAAAAGACAAATTTGGACAGAGATGTATATAAATTACTGAGGAGATGCAGAATATTCATAGTTTTTATAGATTTTATCAATAGGATATTATCTTACTTTTAGAAATGATGAATGATACTTCTATATATAAAGACTCCATGTCTATCCATTCATCCTAAGAGCAGAAACAATAATCACAAAGGCAGGGGAGGCATCATTTATTTGCTACTGGGAGGATTCAGTGACATTGGATTTCTAGTAAGCTTGTTATGGTCATGATGCTTTTCAGTAACTTGTAAGCACTATATTCATGAAAGCAGGGAGCTGATTTTTTTAAAAGGACTAGTAGAGGAAGACAAGAAATAAGAAAACAAGACAGAAATTACAGAAGAAAGAAAGAGATGTGAAAATCATCTGAGAAATTAGTCAACATCTGTGGAGACTATATAGGAATATAAAAGTTAGGGTCCTTAATATTAAGAATAAAAAATATTAAGACTTGCTGAAGGCTGGATGTGGTGGTTCATGCCTGTAATTCCAGCATTTTGGGAGACTGAGGCAGGAGGATTATTTGAGCCCAGGAGTTTGAGACCAGCCTGGGCAACATAGTGAGACCCCCATCTCCACAAAAAAAAAAAAAAAAAAAAAATTAGCCAGGCAAGGTGGTGGGCACCTGTGGTCCCATCTGCTTGGGAGACTGAGGTAAGAGGACAGCTTGAGCCTGGGAGTTTGAAGCTACAGTGAGCCATGATCTCCCCACTGCACTCCAGCCTGGGTAATAGAGTGAAACCTGTCTCAAAAAACAAACAAAAAAACAAACTTATTGAAGCAAAGTTTTATGTAGAAGTGATGAGATCTCTGATAAACTAGAATTTTTCCACTTATTTTTCTGTTTAAAATATTGTTTTATTGTAAGCTGTATGGTCAGTTTAGTGGGAGTAACAAATGATTTGAAAGTATGGTAGGGAGAGTAGAGGAAAAGGTATTAGTACTATATTTAAATGGGAAAGATAGCTCTCAGCCTCAGGAACAGGAGGAAGGAGGCTGTCTCGCCTCTCTGAAGGTGTAAATGGTAAAATCATCCTATCTAAGGAGAACAGTTTGGTTTTCCAACTTCTACTCCCCACTCAGAGACACTTTGTTCCTACTTTATGCAAAGATGAGATGTTAAAGCTGAAATCTGGAGGCAGAAGAACTGGCTTTTATAGTTAAAGCATCAGGCTACAAAAGCACTTTTGCACCTTCCTTTGGATTACTTGGAAACAGTGGATCCCAGCCACAGAAAGAAGGCATAGAGCCTAGAAAGGCAGAAGCTGAGAGCCAAATCCTCAGGTTATCAAGGACTGTACAGTGTTGGGTAAAGCAAGCCATAAATGGAAGACTTTCCCTTCCTTTCTTCCCTTCTCTCCCCTCCCCTCCCTGAGTTGTGTCTGTGTGTGTCCGTGTGTGTGGGTGGAGGTGGGGGCATTTTAATATATATATAAGTGTGTGTGTGTGTGTGTGTGTGTGTGTGTGTATATACTTTTTTAAGAAGCTTATTCTGTTTTTTAAAGTTGGTTTCAAAGTATCATCTTAACATGCAGTTATAATTTGAAATTAAACTCTTAAAAGAGGCTTTTGAATGAAAGTAAAGTACGGAAAATGTGGATAAAGTTTGGAATCATAAAAAGCCACTGGAGTGCAAATTGAGATTTAGGTTCTAGTCCCAGCTCTTCCAAAATTCATGGCACTATGAGTCTGACTATCTGAATGAAAGTATTGGGCTAGAATGATGTTTGAGGCTACAGCTCTGACACTTAATTATCCTGTGAATTCTAGGTGATGTTAAGTTGACAGCCACTCTTGCATGGCACATTAGCTCCAGGTAAAGAGGCACACCTAAAAGAGTAAGAGTAGGGAGGGGCAAAATCAGCTTCTGACATATTGAAATTGCTCCCCTCAACAAATGAGTAGCTTCCTTCATAACAGAGGAACAAAAGAGATCACAGTAATAGCAACATGTAGTATTTCTCACAAGTAAATAGAGCTAAAAGTAGCAAAGCCAAGGGTACATACATAAGTTCACTAAAAGACAAGAACCAGCATGTATGCTGGGCTGTCCTCTTCACTAGAATTTCCAGATAAAATAGATGATGCAAATAAAATTTAGAAATTTAATGCAGTTGCAATATGGAAATAAATCCAGTGTGAAGCCAACACTCTCATTGGACTCTATTGCACTCTCTATTGCACTCTCATTGCAATAGTTTAGGGATCAAGGGTTCAACAGATCTGGTTGGGTATACTTGGCTCAGCCACTTGCCAGCAATATGTACTTGAGTAAGTGAATTATGGGTTAATTGTAGAAAATTTGGAAAATACAGAAAAAAAATCAATGAAGTTTTAAAAGCCTTAATGCAAGGAATTCTGGAAAATGTAGTTTTAGCTTTCTACTCTCTACTAAAGGAAAGCAAGCAAGCCAGAACAGCTGTTTCTGTATTTGCCATGCCCACTACTTACACTAGTCAGGATTCTCCTGGGAACAAAAGTGCAGATGGCAGATTAATGTTTCAGCTCAGTAGTCAGTTAGAGAGGGAATTCAACTTTCTTCTACCTTTTTGTTCTATTCAGGCTCTCAACTGATTGGATGAGGCCCACCCACATTGGGGAAGGATACCTACTTTACTCATTCCATCAATTCAAATGCTATTCTCTTCCAAAAACAATCAAAAACAAACCCAGAAATTGTGTTTAATCAGATATCATGGCACAGTAGGGCTGATACATTAAAATATTATTCTAAATGTATATGCTAAAGTCATTTCCTTTAAAAGCACAATCAGAGAGAAATGTTCAACAGCAAGTTTATTAATCAATATTATTTTGGAGTTTCTTGCAGGTGCAATAAGAAAAAAAATGCAATGCTGATGAGGTTGCTGTATATCTAGAAAACCCCAAAATTGCAATTTTAAAGTAATAAAATAAGAAAGATAATTTGATAATTTGATCACTCATATTTATTTAGAAATTTCTTTACTGGTAATAAACACTAGAAATAGAAATGGAAAAAAGCAGATTCACATAAAACATAATAGTAAAAAAATAGGTTAAAAAAGACAGGACCTATACCTTAAAAAACAAAAACACCTAACTTATTGAAGGGCCCAAAGGCAAAAAAAACAAAAAACAACAACAAAAAAAAAACCAGGTTATGTTCTGGGTCTAGAAATCTTAATATCACAAATACATCAAGCCTCTATAAAAAATCATAAATTCAATAAAAAAAGTTAACAACTTTATTGAAATCTACTAAAATACAATTAACTGTACATATTTAAAATATACAATTTGATACATTTTGATATATGTATATATACATATACACACCTGTAAAACCAATCTAGATAATGAACATATCCATCACCCCAAAGTATCCCCTTCTTCTTTATAGTGCCCCTCACCCACCTCTCTCTGCCCTCTCCTCAGTTCCATGTTCCATGCAACTACTGATCTACCTTATGTCACTATAGATCAGTTTGCATTTTCTTGAAATTTATGTAAATAAAATCATATATTCTTTGTATGTCTGGCTTCTTTCATTCAACATTATTGTGAGATTTATTTATTTGCTGCATGTACCAGTAGTTCATTTCTTTTCGTTGCTGAATATTCCTTTGTCAGGATATACCACAATTTGTTTATTCACCTGTTCATAGACATTAGGGTTAATTTCAGTTTTTGGTTATTATAAATAAAGCTATTGTAACCATTTGTATATGAATCTACTTATGAACATAAACTTTTTTTTTTTTAGATGGAGTCTCACTCACTCTGTTGCCTAGGCAAGAGTGCAATGTGCAATCTCGGCTCACTGCAACCTCCACCTCTTGGATTCAAGTGATTCTCCTGCCTCAGCCTCCTGAGTAGCTGGGATTACAGGTGTGCACCACCACGGCTAGCTAATTTTTGTATTTTTAGTAGAGACGAGGTTTCACCACATTGGCCAGGCTGGTCTCGAACTTCTGACCTCAGGTGATCCGCCCACCTCGGCCTCCCAAAGTGCTAGGATTACAGGCATGAGCCCCCACGCTTGGCCTATTTATGGACATATGCTTTTGATCCTCTTGGAACTTAGAAGTATCCAGGAAAAAAGGAGAAAGTCTTTGTGATGTGATCTTGATTTTAGAGTTCTAGATTTTTCATTTAGGTCTGTACTTTATTTTGAATTAATTCTGTTATATGGTGCAAGGTAGGGATTGAGATTCTTTTTTTTTTTTTTTGCCTGTGTATACCTAATTGTTCCAGCACAATTTGTTAAAGAGACAAGAAAAGTCTGTTTATACCTGTGCCAAAAATCAATTTATATATATGTGGATCTATTTCTATAATGCTAATCTGTTTTCTTAATATTTTTATCTTGATGGCAATACTATATTGATTTGACTTTCATAGCTTTTCTTTATAGTAGTCACCAGAACAAATGTTAACTCTTCTCTTGCATTAATTGAGAAAAATTTCAACCTGGAAACAAATCTTGAAAACTGAAATCTAAAAAGTGTGTTCTCAGAAGTCAATATGATACTATCTGCTAGTGATATATATATATACGATGGGACAAGGTCCTGTCTGTTCACTGAATTCAGTCCCCACTTCAGGGTGACACAGTGGTTTCTGAAGGTTCTCCAGGGACTGAATTGTGGCTATTTCTGAGTGCAATCCTCAGATTTGTCCACTCTAGCCAGATCTTGCCACCATGCTCTGCCATCTGCATCTCCTCCACTCCTCAGGTCTAAAACGAGAGAGAACCCTGCCCCTCGGGATCAAAGAGTTGCTCTTGATTCTTGTTAGTGGTGATGGAACTCAGAACTGCCCCAGTGGGGCTGAAGGGCGCTGACACATGGGGCTGGCCTAGAAATGGGCTCCCAGCCTCACTGCTGCCGCAAACACAAGCACTGGCTTGTGACCTGTCTTCCTGTGGCTGAGATTAACTCTTGAGATGTAACTCTCTCAAGTGGCACAGTTGCAGACTTCTCAGTATCTCTCAGTCTAGACTCAACGTTTAGACCTTGGAGGAAGAGGAAGGGGAGCCTCTCCTTTCTCAATCCGAAAAGTCACCTTCATTCTTGGCCAGTGAAACAGTATCCATTGTGATTAACAATGGGAACATCAGCTCTTTTCAAAAGAAAACTCCACACTTAAACATCGGGGTGTGTTTTTACTGAACAACTCCATTAAAACAATAAAGTCACCAAACAGTCTATGTTTTCCCCTCTTTGTGGCTAATTCAGTTTTATCCATAGTCCTCTTCTTACTCTAGTAGATTATGATGTGTTATTGGATTGTTTCTTGTGGTAGATGCTCTCTGACTGGTACAATTTACAAGTATCTCTCTTAATTTTTAAAATATATTAATTTTTAAAATATGCTAATTTGCTGTAAAAGATTCTTCCCCCACCCCAAGTCAGTGGCTCAAACTCCATAGAGTTTCTTTTTCTCTCATATACCAGCTCAGAGGTAGACACAGGGTTCAAGAGGGGTAGGTGGCCCTGGTTATGAAGACAACCAGAGACCAGGGTTCATTATTTCTTGCCATCAACCCTAGAGCATTATCCTCACCTGGAGGGTTAATTTGGCTTTACTACTACCATGTCTTCATTCTAGCTTGCAGAAAATGAAAGACTCAGGAAGCGACTTTTAAAGATGAGACAAATAAGTTGCACATATTATGTCCACTGTGCTCTGTGAGCCATAAAGCTACAACCAGCTACAGGGGAGGCCGGACATCCACACACCAGCCACACACTCAGAATAATGGATATTCCAGAAAAATGTCCAGTCTCTGCCACATATACAATATTCCAAAATCCAAATTTCTGATATTTCTTATTTATGCAACAATACAGTATTGCATTATTTTCTAGGTAATCACATAAGTAGATTTGAGGAAAAAAATCGAAGGAACATCATTTCTTCCTACTAATGATCACATATTCAGGCACTGACTTCAATTAGATTGTTAGTACGGTTTTTACCTCTTCCTGTTATTATGATGAGTCAGGGGCTTTTAATTTCTCAGTTCAATACTACTAGCTTACTTGTCTCCTTAGATCACTCAAGAAAATCAGTGCAATGAAAACATTGAATCACATCTTACTCACTTCATCAATTGGAAAATCTTTCAAGTCACCAGGAATGTGGTGGGAGTGAGGGGTGAGTATGAATACAGAACTGTGGTCGTGCAGCAGTCAGAATTCAATTTTCTACCTGCTTTTATAGTGCAGGAGGCTCCAAAACACTTGCTGTTCTCAAATCTTGGCCATGACCAAGAAAACCTGTGTGAAAGCAAACGATTACAGAATACATTTCTGAGGCCTGAAATCTCACTGCGACTGTAAAAATAAATATTGTTCTGAACACCTGCCTCCCATATCAGTAAAAAAAATTGGAAAGTGAGTCAAATCATGTCATTCCTCAGTTCAAAACCTGTAAGGACTCCTTTTTCATTCAAATTAAAAACCAAACTTTAAAATAGCCTAAGGATCCTATACTATCTGCCTACCCCCTAACCTCTAGGCCCTCCTCTCCTACAACCTTCCCCTCATTTCCTCTGCTCCAGACTCTGTGGCATCCTTCTACTCCTGAAACATGCCAGACACCTACTTCCTGACATAGGAACTTTTGGGGGCTCTCTCTTCTGCCTGAATTCCCTTCCCCGCCCCAGATGATCTGCATTGCTAACTCCTTTACCTCCTCCAAAGCTTTGTTCAAATCTCACCTTCTCCATGAGGCTGTCAGGCCAGGTCAGATGAAAAGCAGACAACAACATGGAATGAGATACGTAAGAGATTTATTGAGAGGAACACCTATAAGAACTGATGAGCTAGGAAGCAAGAGGAGGAGAGAGAGACTTCTGGTGCGTGCAGATCTGACACCTGTGAAAAAGAGAGGGCAGGAAGGAGGATGAGGTAGGATGAACCTCAGATTGCAGTGCAGCTCTGAGAAAGTCTTGGCCAGGGCAAAGAGAACCCCAGAGAAAAGATATCCCTCTAGAGGTGTCCCATGTTAGGAAAAATGCTGACTTCATTAACCCCACCAAGTGCAGTCTTTGGCTAGGGGCTGCTGAGAGAGTGGCTTTGGGCTAAGTGCCTTAGCAGCTCCAAAGGGGTAGAAGCTGAAGGTTGTCAGCCACTTATATTCCTCAGAGCAGGTTATATTGAAAGGAGAGCTGAGTGGCACTACTTCCTGGCCCCAAGAGCCCTGCCTACCTACCCCGTATAATACTGCTGATCACCAGCTCAGCATTCCCAGTGCTTTTTACCCTGGTCTACTTTTACTTTGTTCCATAACCCTTTTTACTCCATGACAATGAGAGAAATATAATATTCCTAATTTACAGTGAGTAAACCAAGGTTTAGTAAACTTAGAACATGCATCTATTCTAGGTTCCCAGGGGTTTCATCCTTTGACTTTACTCATATGGCTTCAACTGTCACTTACATGTTGTTAATAATGATTGGGATGATGATGCTACAATGGTAACGTTATTGATCAGTTGTTATGTGCCAAACATTGTGCTGAGTGATTTACTTGTATTATCTCATTTAATCCCCACAACGACCTTTGAGATTATTATTATTATTCCTTCAATTTTTAAAGATAAAAATACTGAGGTTTAGGGAGGGTACACACAGCTTATAAAGGACAGAACCAGAAGTCATGACTTGGTCTGACTGCAGAGCCTGATTGATCTCTTGCCTGCCAGATTGATTTTTAAATTTTCATTGCTGGCTGCCTTATACTACCTCCAGTTCAGATTTGTCTCCTAGCTGCAGACACACGTATCTCACAGGTGACTGGACACTTCCACGTAGATGTCCCACAGATAGCTCAAAATGAACTTCTCCAAAACTGAACCCATCCCCTCCCCATATCGGCTCTCGTTTTTGTTTCCCTCACCCCTTATATAGCTCTACCATTCATCCACTAATTCTCACAGATCAAAAATCTGAGTGTTTGTCTGTATTCTGCCTCACTTTCCTGATTTCTGTACCCAGTCCCATTGATACGCCTTCTAAACCTCTTTCCCACCTGTCTGTCCTCTCCACCCACATCTCCACTGCCTTTGCTTAGGCCACCATATTCTCATCTGGATTATTGCTGACAGTGTCCTAACTCTTCTTTACCCCACCAGTCTTGCCTTTTCCTCTCTTCCACTCTTTCACTAACTCCAGACTGATCTTTCTGGAAAGAAAAAAACAATCCACTGTGTCATTCCCATGCTTAAATTGTTCCATTGCCTTTCCAGTGCCTTTGAGGGATCCATGAGCTACCCTAGCCTACCTGCCTAATCTCGTTTGCTTTAGAAACCCATGTCCAAGCTGTACAGGACTTATAGCCCCTCTGAATGCCCTATGTTCCTCATCTTCCTCAACTCATTCATGCTATTCCCTGCTGCCCTTCAGCCTTTTTTTTGGCCTTATTACTGTCCTCAGGTCCTCAGCTCAGGTGCCACCTCCACCAGGGAGATGTCACTCACTTTCCAAATCTGGGTTAAGTGTCCCTTCTTACATGTTCTCATGGCAACCTGTGTCTCTTCATGGAATGAAAATGAACTATATTGTAATTGCACATCCTGCCAGACCAGGGGGCACCAAACTTTTTTCTGTAAACGGCCAGATAGTATATATTTTAGGTTTTACAGGCCTTATGGTCTCTGTCACAACTACTTAACTCTACCTTTATAGTACAAAAACAACCACAGAATATATGATAATAGAAAAGCATGGCTGTGTTCCAAGAGAACTTATTTATGTCCACTGAAATTTGAATTTCACATAATTTTCATGTGTCACAAAATATTAAAAAAAATTTCAACCATGTAAAACTGTAAATGCCATTCTTAGCTCGAAGGCTGTACAAAAACAGGTGGGTAGGCCAAATATAGCATATCAGCTGCCACTGGCTGATCCTTGCACTATTCCATGAGCTTCTCACAGCCAGGGCAGTGTCTCATCTGACTTTGTATTCAAGTTCTTAGTACAGTATCCAGTTTATAGTAGGTGTTTAATAAACGTTTGTTGAATAAGTAAAACTTGCACAGCTAGTAGTAAGTGACAGTGTCAGGATTCAAACCTGAGTCAATCTGAGTTAGCAGTGTGATGTCCCACTGTCCATTTTGTGATTGAAGCTGTATGTGATGTAGTATACTTACAGCATGATATTTGAGATATCAAAAAAGTAATTCTAGAAGCACCTTGGGTATTACTTGAACTCTATTATTACTGTTATTAGTTGCTACTCAGCCTACCCTACCATGTACCCTTCCCATCATCCCCGTTTAACTTGACCTTATTTACTCCATTTCCAGGTATTTAAAATAGTCCAGGATTTGGCCACTTCAATTTTTTTTTTTTTAAATAAAGCTTCTTCAAGCTGTTTTCAGCTTTGGAACCAGAAACCTCCAAACTTTGTAAGTTACATAAATGCTTAGTACATCATAACCTTCAAAAGGTTGCCAATTAGAAGAAATCTTAAGCATTGTCAGGAAATTCCTTCTCTCTATATATAGCCTTATGCATAGTAGACTTGTTGCTTTCTTTCCCTTTTAAAGTTGGAACATAGAACATAAAACCCCAGTACGTCGGCATTGTGAGGTCCTTGTGACCTCACCTTTCAAATAGGATATGGTTACCTGGGAAACTAAGTTAATTACATATGGAACATCAGAGGCTAAGCTCAGGTGGCAACAGGATGGGTCAGATCAAGGAAGACTGAGACTCCGGACCAAGCCTCACGGCTGGTGAGGGCCAGGGACTCAATCACAGGAACAAGGTTAGGAGTTAGTCACCTAAGGCATAGGCACTTGGGGACAGGACAAGAGAAGCAGGACGCAAACCAGAAGCCCGTTTCATTTAAAAAAGAGATTCATGATAAGTAACTCCAATTGTTGGTGGAACTATGCAGTCAGTTAATAGTTATTTGAGAACTTGAATATAAGGCAGTCACAGGAGAAAAAGGCAGAACTAGTTAAAAGAGAACAGCAAATCAGAGTATCAGAAGGTAAAAAGCATAGGGAGGTGAAAAGAGCTTTGGAATTGGAAGGGATGACTTCCAACTAGCTATAAATGACTAGTAAGCCTTTTAAATTTTCTCAATAAACCTTTCTATTAATCCATTAGATGATTAAATTGAATTCAGTTCTCACTGAATATTGAATTGAATACTCATATCGCTAAAGTCCCTTCCAGATTTTATTTTTTGTTTTTTTGAGACAGAGTCTGGCTGTGTCGCCCAGGCTGGAGTGCAGTGGCGTGATCTCTGCTCACTGCAAGCTCTGCCTCCCGGGTTCACACCATTCTCCTGCCTCAGCCTCCCGAGTAGCTGGGACTACAGGTGCCCGCCACCATGCCCGGCTAATTTTTTGTATTTTTAGTAGAGACGGGGTTTCACCGTGTTAGCCAGGATGGTCTACGATCTCCTGACCTCGTGATCCGCCCGCCTCGGCCTCCCAAAGTGCTGTGATTACGGGCGTGAGCCACCGCGCCCGGCCAAGTCCCTTCCAGCTTTAACATTTAGGAATTAAAAACTGTTTTAGAATTGAAACCACAAATTGTCCTGGTTTCAGACAAGTTTGGTACCTGAGCAGGAGGTGAGGATGTATTTACAATTCAAAAGTAGTGGTTTTATAGGGGTAACAAGTCAAGCAGGTCATCACATGGTGTGACTGTTTCTGACTTTACTCTCTCCTATCTTTGTATCATAGCTTCACTCGCTCCTTGTAATGTAGCTGTTATATGACAAGTTCTTTCACTGCTTTTACAAGCTGTACTGCTTCAACACCGGCCAAAACTTCCTAAACTTCCACTGAACATTTTCATCACATTGAGAATACAAGAAACAATTTAAAACAAAAATTTCAATGTGGGTTTTCAAACCTGATCAGTGTTGAAGCTGGATGTAGGCCAGATATCTTACCTTAAAATCTTTTTTTCTTTTTCTTGAGACAGGGTCTCACTCTGTTGCCCACGCTGGAACGCAGTGGTGTGATCATAGCTCACTGCCTCCTGGCCTCAAGCAATCCTCCCTGCTTGGCCTCCCAAAGTGCTGGGATAACAGGTGTGAGCCACTGTGCCTTGCCCCATGCCTTAAAAACTTTTAAGAGTGGGATAAATGGACCATATATCTTTACTGCTAAAATGACTTAAAATTCCTGCACAATTCATGTAGCATTTCGGGAGTAGCAACATCCCCATGTACGTTTTTACCTAGGCAGTTCATCAGTAAAGGTATTTGTCAAGTGGCTTTCTTGTAGCCGGGAAGAAAGTGCATGTTAAAAACAACAACACCGGGCTGGTTTTTACTTTGTAAGTTTGAGCAAAGTGGTAGCTATACCAAACCTGGGAGTGGCTGAATGTCTTTCTATTTAGCAGTGAAAGATGATAGGAAACCAGCCAGATGGTCCTGATTTTAGGGTGAGATAGAGAGGTAAGCTCCAGATCTCATATAGGTTGCCTTTATTTCTGAGCTGTTTCTCACAGGACGGTGAGCTAAACGCTGGGTGCTTTTCCATGCAGAGATTCCTGTTTGGGGCTGGGATCAGCCATCCTACTTCACAAACAAGGAATATGCGGAAGAAGGAGTATACACAACGCTAACAACCCCAATATCAATGGAAACCCCACTTCCCACACTTTTCCTTTGGGACATCTCCCCCACCCCCCACTCCTCCCGCGTTACACGTTGCCAGGCTGCTTTGGGCGTTCCTTCCTCTGTAGTGCATTGCACGGGTACGTCATCAAATGTGCGTGTACACGTGCCAGATTCGCCTTTAAACGGTAATCTCCCCTAGGTCCAGATCGTGTACTTTCCCGTATGTAACGGTAGTGCAGTACCTGAACTATTAGTTATTTAAGTAATACGTAATGAATGAAGAGCTGAAACTGCAACCTGTTGATGGAAGAATGAATGAACGCGCTCCCCTCCTTCCTGCGGGGCTGCGCCGAGAAAATACGGTTCTGATTTAGCCACGACGTTAAAGGCTTTGACCTGTAGGGGGAGGGGAAAGAAAAGACGGGAAAAAGAAAACCAAAAAACAAAAAACCGGAAAAAGGGAAAAAGCGAAAAGGGGGAGGTCGCTCGGCCGCTCGCAGGCTCAGCCCGGTGGCCCCGCCCCGCGGCGGCCGGTGGCTGTGCGCGTGCGCAGGCGGGAGCGCGGCGGCTGGTCCAAGCCCGGCGCTGGGGGCGCGCAGCCGAGAAAGGGTTTGACGTGGCAGTTCCCAGCCCAGCTGCAACTCCGAGCGTGAGTCCAGGCTAAGGGGACGCCGGCCGGGGAAGAGGCGCGGCGGGAGAAGCGACCGCAGCGGGAGCCCGGCCACCGAGGGCTGCCGGCACTAGGCGCAGAGCCGCCAGCGCTCGGAAGCCCGCGGGGTGCGGGAGCGGGAACAGGTAAAGCCTCCCACCCGCGGACGCCTTCATGCGGGACAGCCCTGCCCAGGCACAGCGGAGCGGGTTGCGGCGCCCGGCCCGGGGACGCGGCGGGAGGCCGGGTGCTCACCTGAGGCAGTGGCGGCGGGAGGAGAACTCATTCTTTGTTCTTTAGCCTTCTAGTGCAGTTTAATAGTGGGGCCGGCGGGATGGGGGAGCAGGAGGTGGGCGTGGGCATTTTTTACCCGCCCCCACCTTTTGCCTTGGGATGCAGGAACTGCCTTGTTAGGATCCTCAGTGGCCACCATTCGAGTGTCATTGCCAGCGGTTTTCTCATCTCCTTATCAACTTAATTTCCTTTTTTGAAGGAAGGAAATGTTAGAAATATTCATGGTAAAAATGGCAACTATATCTTGAAGCCTCGGGACATCCGAATAGTGAAACTGATCTGGCCAAATACGAACTTGTTCCAGGGTTAGAAGTGCACCTTGGCTAGAGTTGCTGGGTGACAGTGAGCCAGGGGGCCGTTCTGGGGTTGGGGCTCCCCAGATTTTGATCCTAGGCCTGCTTATACCAAGTGGCTTTCTGCCGTGTCGCCGCTTGAAGCTGAGTCAGGTTTCTTTAACTTGGTGCTCTGTGTGAGGAAGTTTGACGTGGCAAACTGGGTTGCGTGAGGAAGCTGATTCCTCTGAGGACCAGTTCAGAGGGAACTGGCTGCTTCCTGTTCTTTGGAGTGACCATCTCAGCCTCTCTTTTCTGTCACTCAGCAACAGGCTGCTACTTAGGTGTGTTCGTGCCGACTTCCTAAGTGCTCTTGGTTGGATGAGCTTGACCAGCGCTCAGGCTGCCACGTCTCTCTCTGCTAAGTGGGAGGAGGAAAAAGGGGTTGTCAGAAACAAAGTGGACCAGAAGGCCTTTGCCTGCCTCTCTCCTCTTTTTCAGTTCTCCCCTTCCCAGGAGAAGGAAATGATCTCATAATATTTTTACATGGTTGCTTTTATTTTGGAAACTTATAGTTTAATATGGAAACAAAATCAAATCACAAATTTTAGGCTTCAAATTTTTAATTTGAAATGTTATTTCTTGAATATAGACAGATTCTAAGTCTTAGCAGGTATCACTGATCTCTTATCTTAAATTGTAGCAAATAAAAGAACAAAAGGAAGAATATGCTTGTATGGGGCAAATAAACTGGAGATAAATTGTAGAATCAGTGGAAATCTGGAAAGGCTTCATTTTCTAAAAGAAGGAACTGAGGCTTAGAGAGGTTCTTCAGCTCATTCCATGTCACACAGTTAAGTATGGCAGACATAGAATGGAAACCCACTTCTCTTGCATTCAAAGCATTTTCTGTCGTATTTAATTTTTTTTTTTAAATCATCAGTCCTATGAAATATCTCTTATTTTGTTAAAACCTGGAAAAAATAGAAAATTTAAAGCAAATTTGGGTTCTGATTAGAATCAAGATTTAAAAAAAATCAAGATGAGTCTGTTATATTTGTGATGTGTGTGCCTACACACTTACAAAATTACACTTTTTTTCCTTAGTCCCCTAAATATAGGTGCATATGTTCTTAGAGATGTGATATGATTTAAATTAGAAAGAAATTCTGTCGCCTTTGAAAAACCACTGACAACACTCAAGTGGTTATAGTGACCACCTGGCTCGGTCAAATTATGACTCATAAAATAAGCCCATTATCAACGTTGTCTGTTGCTATGTTTGTTGGACTATGATTTCTCTTTGTCCTAATGACTAGATTAAAATAATTAATTAGATGAGCACTAAAAAGACGTAAGTCATAAAACATCTGATTGCAGGCTACTGGCAGTTATGGTGGTCAGTCAATTGAATGGCATGGTGTGCTCTGTGCTGAAATGTGACCATGGAAACCAAAAGCACAAAATCATAGGAACACTATGAGAGACTATCTGTGAGATGCTTCAGGCTTCCATTAAAAAAGTGGTTGCGAGTTATTATTCAGGTCTCATGCTTGAGAATTTGCCCAGGATTATTGAAGTGATTTACTGAGTTTCAGAGAGCTATGGTTAGGCCCTTTTTAGGGGATAATGATATATTGTATAATACAAAGATTTCTCATGTACCTGATATCTGTACTTTTCCTCAAACCATCATAAACATGTAATAACAGTGTTTATATTTTTAATAGCTTTACGTAACTAAAACTGTCTTGGTAACATGTTTCTTGTTTCTCTGTTGCAGACTTCTTTTGTAGAATTATCCTATGGAATGATATTTTCATAATGAGTCAACAAGGTTACGTGGCTACACCTCCGTATTCTCAGCCTCAGCCTGGAATAGGCCTTTCTCCACCTCATTATGGGCACTATGGGGATCCGTCGCACACAGCATCTCCAACAGGTACAGTGTGTTATTTTGACTTGTATGTGATTATTCAGTTCTCAGGCTCAGAGACATAAGATGTTCTGAAAGAGGAGATTTGAAAGCATTGAATGATCATTATATAATGAAATGGCTTGAGATTACAGGATCATTTGGAAAAGGCTCTCATAGCAGAACTCTACATCACTAGTTTGGTTATTGCATGCAATACAAGTTTGGTTTTTAAATATAGACTAAAACAAACACTTCCTGTTTTATTTTTACTGTGAGTCTTGTTCTTGCTGTTAATTAGTGGTGTAAGGCTATTGTAAACATTGAATAAAAAAAGAATTAAATTTATAAATGAATTAAATTCACATATCCTTATCTAGGATTGGCCCTAGATAAATCTGTACATCATGTGAGGATAATTCTTTGTACAATTCTTTGTACAAATGGACCATGTATAAATCAATGAGTAACTCTCAGGGCTCACTGGAACTAGCTTAGATATCTGGGATCCAGGCTGTGCTAGGTAGAATGTATATAGTGCAGAATCAGCAAGGGGTGAGGACTCCCTTTAGTGAGGCTTGATGTTAGCAGCCACACACAGTGTGCTGCAGAAGATGCTCTGAGATTGTGAATTTCCTGTGGAAAGTCAGTCTTATGATTTATTCTTCCCGAGATTTTAAAGATGTCCAGATGAAGCATCCCTCTTCTTGTTCAGGACCATCCTCTCCAGAATGTTTGTAATCTTGCCTTACTGGATCCTGTAGAAACCATTAACCCCTTCAGTTTCTAACTGGTGGTTCATTTCTCCTCAGCATTTATTTATAATGATAATTATAAATTATTCCTTTTTATGATGTGTCGAAATCTGGCCCTAAAAGCTTTTCCTGTATTGTCTTATTTAATCCTCATACAATGCTATGCAGTAAGTTATTTTTGCAGCTAGGAAAACTGAATGTCTGGTGTCATGTGACTTGTCTAAGGTCACAGACAGCAAGTAGTAGCACCAGGATTCATACCCAGATCTCTCAAGAAGGCAAAAAACAAATTGCATACACACCTAAGTATAACACTCTATATTATTCACCCTTCCCTCTTCACAGGCATCTTCTTGAGAAAGTACTCACTATGCTTGGTAATCTCCACCTTTACCTCTCCTTCCCTCCATGGCTCAGCATAGTTTACACTCCATAGTTTGCCACCCCATCCACACTTTCACTTCCCTCACCAGGACTATCAGTGTCCTATTTCTCAATGCAGTAGACATTGTGCTGTCTGTCCTCTTTTGTATTTGACTCTGTTTACCACTCTCATTTTTACAAAACTCTTTTCTCCTTTGGTTTCAATGACACTATCCTTTTGTTGTTGTCTTTTGAGGTGGAGTCTCCCTCTGTCGACCAGGTTGGGGTGCAGTTTTGCGATCTCAGCTCACTGCAACCTCCGCCTCCTGGGTTCTAGTGATTCTCCTGCCTCAGCCTCCTGGGTTCTAGTGATTCTCCTGCCTCAGCCTCCTGAGTAGCTGGGATTACAGGCGCCCGCCACCATGCCTGGGTAATTTTTGTATTTTTAGTAGAGACGGGGTTTCACAATGTTGGCCAGGTTGGTCTCGAACTCCTGACCTCACGTGATCCACCCGCCTCCACCTCCCAAGGTGCTGGAATTATAGGTGTGAGCCATTGTGCCCATTTTTTTGGGTTGCTTTCTGGACATTTCTTTTGAAGGAATTCTTCTACATGACTCTTAAGTGTTGCTGTTTCTCCCTCCATGTTCCATCTTCACTACTGTTATCCCACTCTGTAGATTTTTCCCTAAGCTGGATCATTCACAGAAAGTGCTTGTCTCTCAGATCTATTTCTCCAGCCCAGATGCCTCCCCTAAGCTCTAGACCAGGGGTATCCAGTCTTTTGGCTTTCCTGGGCCACACTGGGAGAAGAATTGTCATGGGCCACACATAAAATACACTAACAATAGCTGATGAGCTAAAAAAAAAAAAAATCAAAAAAATCTCATAATGGATTAAAAAAGTTTTCAAATTTGTGTTGGGCCATATTCAAAGCTGTCCTGGGCTGCGTGTGGGCCGTGGGTTGGAAAAGCTTGCTCTAGACCCATATTTCCAGTTGCCCACCTTTGTTGAGGCACGTCACAGTCACCATGCCCAAAACAATTCCATATTCATCATGGAAGCCTATGTTTTCTGGCATTTCAAATCTCACTCATTAGCATCATTTATTTCGTGATCCATACCAGAAACTTTATTAAAAAAACAAAAAAACAAAACTTGGTGGGGTGTGGTGGCTCACACCTGTAATCCTAACACTTTGGGAGACCAAGACAAGTGGATCACTTGAGGCCCGGAGTTTGAGACCAGCCTGGCCAACATGGTGAATCCCGGTCTCTACTAAAAAAATAGAAGATAAAAATTAGCTGGGCATGGTGGCACATGCTTGTAATCTCAGCTATTTGGGAGGCTAAGGCATGAGAATCGCTTGAACCAGGGAGATGGAGGTTGCAGTGAGCCAAGATCACGCCACTGCACTCCAGCCTGGGGAACAGAGTGAGACTCTCTCAAACAAACAAGCAAAAAAACCTCTCCCTCCTTTTTATCTCCTCCAATGTAATCGGTCTCCCAAATCTTTTTGGAGTGATTGTAAACAGCTTTCCTACCTGCTTTCTCCTTTCCATTCTCCTGTCACTCTTTTTGTTCAATCCATCCATCTCTCACATGGATTACTAAAATGATCTTGTAACTATTATCCCTCTCTCCAATACTGTCTTTTTCCAAACCATCAACTCCTGAGCCAGAGGGATTTTTTTATACCATGCAAATCTAATTTGAATTCTTTTGTATTCTAATACTTTTTCAGGCCTCTATACTATTTGCCATACTGTGTTATAATAGATGTTCCTATAGTAGATGTTCCTGGAGCAGAGAAGGCACTCATGGCTGTTTTTAAAAAAAAAAATTTTAATTGGCAAATAAAAAATTATATATACATATATATATAATGTACAACATATTGTTTTGAAATATGTATACACTGTGGAATGGTTAAATTGAGCTAATTATAAATGTTTATTCAATGAAGTGGATGACAAACTGTAGCACTCATTAGCAAAACACTCTGGTATTTACCAATATTTAATTAAATTAAATTAATTAATTTATTTGAGACAGGGTTTTGCTCTGTTGCCTAGCTTCCAAGTAGCTGGTAGAGATGGGATCTCCCTATGTTTCCCAGGCTGGTCTTGAACTCCTCAGCTCAAGTGATCCTCTCGCCTTGGCCTCGCAAAGTGCTGAGATTATAGGCGTTAGCCTCGGCACCTGGCCTTACCAGTGTTTTTAAAAGCTGTCTTTGTTGGATTAAATCCTTCATGCTTTAGTTTAAACTGCTTTCTCCTTACTTAATGGCTATTAAATATCAGGTGAATAACCAGGCTATTATACTCTCTGCAAATATATCTTTCTATGCATATTGTGGTGTTTTGGTTTAATTATTTAAGACTTTCACTAAATTACTCCAGCTCTTATATCTCTGATTATATTCTGCTGAATAACCTTAGATACCTTAATCTTCAGTCTTCCTGTGTCTTCTTGTCTAGCCTTTTAGTGACGCTTTTATTGGTCTCCTGACAGACACAAGCAAACTTATTGTGGTTCTTTGAAGTATCTATTCCACTGTAGATCTGGCCAGTGCTAACTCTTGCTTTGTGTTGCTCACATTATCGTATCTCCATTTATGCTTATTCATTGTGTTTTTGTAAAGCTAGTGCTGTATACTAACACTTTTTTTTTTTTGAGACGGAGTTTCGCTCTTATTACCCAGGCTGGAGTGCAATGGCACGATCTCGGCTCACTGCAACCTCCGCCTCCCAGGTTCAAGCGATTTTCCTGCCTCAGCCTCCTGAGTAGCTGAGATTACAGGCATGCGCCACCACACCCGGCTAATTTTGTATTTTTAGTAGAGACGGGGTTTCTCTGTGTTGGTCAGGCTGGTCTCAAACTCCCGACCTCAGGTAATCCACCCGCCTCGGCCTCTCAAAGTGCTGGGATTATAGGCATGAGCCACCGCGCCTGGCCCCTAACACTTTTTTTTAAAGAGACAAGGTCTTGCTCTGTTACTCAGGCTGGATTGCAGTGACGAAATTATAGCTCACTGCAGCCTTGAACTCCTGGGCTCAAATGATCCTCCTGCCCCAGCTTCCCAAGTGGCCAGGATTATAGGTGTGCCCACCATGCCCAGCTAATTTTAAAATTTTTTGTAGAGATGGGGTCTCACTATGTTGCCCAGTTCTGTCTCGATCTCCTGGCCTCAAGCCATCCTCCTGCCTTGGCCTCCCAAAGTGCTGAAATTACAAACATGAGCCACTGCACCCAGCCACAAATTTAACAATTTATTTGATGAACAAAATAATTGTGGTAATATGACACTTAATAAAATAAGCCTAATCTCAGTCCTCATAGTATTTACTTAGCTAGTGAGAAATGCACTAAAGAAATTAACAATGACAATTTTGTGGGGAAGTACTATTGTAAAGGAAGTAGAGGGTGGTATGGAAGCACGTGGCAGGGGCACCTAAACAAGACTTAGGGTGGAAGGGCTCCTTCCCGGAGGGAATGCCCTGAAACATGAGTGAGAATTGGCCAGGTCGGGAAGCAGTTTGCTGGGATTGGAAGGCGGTACTTTTCAGGACCTGCAAGACATTTGGCATAGCTGGGGAATAGCATGGGAACGGTGAGAGATGCCATTGGCGGGGGAATGTGGGATCATTTTAAGGAATTTAGACTTTATTGTAAGGGCAGTAGAGTACCACTGAAGTGATTTAGTCTGGGAAGGGTCACAATCCAATGTATGTACAGTTTAGAAAGCTACATAGAACATTACTAAGTGTGGAGAAGGAATTACAGCTGGGCATACTGCTCTCTGCAGCAGGGTTTTTCAGCTTCAGCACTATTGACATTTGGGGCCAATTAATTCTTCGTTGGGGGAGGGTAACAGAGTGCCATCCTGTGCATTGTGGGATATTTAGTAGCATCTTTGGTCTCTATCCACTGGATGCCAGTAGTACCTCCCCCAACCTTCTGGGAGTTGTGGCAACCAAAAATGTCCCAAACATTGCCAGATGTCCTATTTTAGGGGCAAAATCGCCCTTGCTTGAGGACACTGGTCTGGAGACTGAGAGTTAAGAAGTATTAATGTAAGGCCGGGTGCGGTGGCTCACGCCTGTAATCCTAGCACTTTGGGAGGCTGAGATGGGCAGATCACGAGGTCAGGAGATCAAGACCACCCTGGCTAACATGGTGAAACGCCGTCTCTACTAAAAACGCAAATAAATTAGCCGGGCGTAGTGGCAGGCGCCTGTGGTCCCAGCTACTCGGGAGGCTGAGGCAGGAGAATGGCGTGAACCTGGGAGGCGGAGCTTGCAGTGAGCTGAGATTGCACCATTGCACTCCAGCCTGGGAGACTGAGCGAGATTCTGTCTCAAAAAAAAAAAAAGTATTAATGTCCTGAACCTAGAACAGGGGCTGTGGGGTGGTGATAGGGCTCCTAATAGTGAGCTTATATAGGTGGATCAAGCATGGTGCTTTAGGGACCATGGTCATTACAATTCTACCCATATAATAGGGAGCTTATCTTTGTTTATTTTAGATAAACATTTTCCCCCCCCAACAAATGGCTTTTAATTTTGGTTTTAGTTTGTCAGGTCCAGGACCAAATTCAAGGCATGCTATTCTGTGATGTGGTTTGGTCAGTGTTACTTTGCTGATAACAGTCCCCTTTAGTGGAAAGGGATTTGTTAAAGGGTATCAGGAAGCAAACAAAACATCAGAAAAAGGCAGAGAACCAGACTTGGGAGTATGTGGTCCATGAAAATGAACATTCCCATGCAGGACCATTCCACCAGAAGTCACCACCATTCTCTCCCAGGAGAATCATCTCTGCCACCAGGCTGGCCAGAGTCTCCCAGAGGTGTGCTGCTTTGCTGAATTTAGAGCATATGGCAAAACAAATTGTAAGGCAGTCTAGGAATTTTCACTTTTCCACCTCAAGACCTTATATTAATATTAATAGAAAAGTCAGAAAGGGATTGGAATTGTTGTGTTTACTGGTCCATGGTATCTGCCGCTGTGTGAGAGACCAACTTGTGATCTTAGATTTTTTTTGGTGGGGGGTGTCTTAAGAACAGTTCATTCTCATTGCACGGTGTTCCTTTCCTATTAAAATTCTCATATTGCTCTATAAAGGACCTGATTCTGTTTGTGTTTGAGTACTTTTGAAAATGCCAATAACATGGCTGGGGGAAGACTATGACTTTGCAGATATCAGTGATACTGACTTCCCTTTGCCCTGGGGGTGAAGTGCAAGTGACACATAGGACTTTGCAGTCTGACCCCAGCCAACCTGGACAGCTTCCACTCTGGCTACTTTCCCTCCCAGCCTCTCCACACCAAGCCTTTCCCCTGTCCTGGTCGTGCCATCCTCTCTCATGTCTTTGCTCAAGCTTTGCTTTCTAACTGGAATCCCTTATCCTGTCTTCTATATGAAGAAAACTCCTGCTTGTCCTTCAAGATTCAGCTCAAGCAGTCCTCCTTCTTTGAACTCTTCTCAATTCCCCCAGGAAGAGTTAGGTAGTCTCTCTGCATATTGTAACAGTCATCCCAAGACATTGTAATGATTTGTTTACATGGTTGTCTCTTCTCTCAAATGGCTCAAAGGCACCTTAAATGTATGTTGAATAATAATGAGAATGATTTGAGAATGCCACAGAATGATTTGAATCACTGCCATAGAGTTGATTCCCAAACAAAAGGGAGAGCACAGTAATATTGATGTATAAAGTTCTGCTTGCATATATCAGAGCTTTTTTTTTTAATTCTCTAGACATGTCTATAGGGGTTTTCATGAAAATTGCTGCTATCCTACTTATTTTTTTAAAGGGGGAATATTTTTGGAGAGCTGTGAGGCAAATTTAAAAAAAGAAAAAAAAAGACCAAAAAAAAAAGAATATTTTCGACTTCTCGTAGTGCATGTAATTATTTAAGTTGAAAATATTTTAATGCTACTGTTGTGAATTGCCTACTTTTGTCCAAAATAATGTTTTTAAAATGAAAATATAAATGTGCTTGTAATTATGTTGCATATGCTTTGTTAGAATAAAAATGCTTAAGAAAGGAGAGCAGGGGCTATGGCCAGGGAAGATGAAACAGCTGTTTTAAAAACCGTCATATCCATTGGTTCATTTAATTCTCAGAACAATCCTTGGAGCTAGGGAATATTATTGCCATGACATGGGATTACAAGTTGAAGCTCTGAAAAATAGAGTATCTTATCGGAGTCACAAATTCAAACTTGTCTGTGACTGCAAGTCTCATGTTTTTCTAACTTTGCTGGGTTTGGGGTTTAGAACTTTGTATTAAAGTGTAGTGCTATAAGGATAATATTTATTGAAAATAGTGGTATATGAATTTGCTAAGTAAAACTATGTAGAATTAATATAAAAATGTCCTCAGTTTAAGGAATCCTATTTTAAGAGAGGAAACCTTGTAAAAGTTTCAATATTATTCATGAAGACCGGCACTTCACTAGATACCTGTCATTTTAGATTATGCAAACATCTGAAAGCATTCTCTCGAAAGCAATTATGATGACAATATAAGAAACTCTTCCTGGGTGACTATACATCATCAGTCAATTCCTTTCTATCTGAGAGAATAAACTTTCTGGAGGAATATAACAGAATAAAGGAAATGTTAATATGAAATACTATGACGAAGTCAAAAGGAGGAGTGCACAGCAGGCAGCTAGGTGGTCATTGATGACCTTGCCAGAGAGCAGGGTATGGTCAAAAGTAAATCAAATGAGGGAAAACAAGCAAGTGGAGACAGCAGATAGAAGAACTGAAGTTTTTCTCTTTTTTTCTTTTCTCTTTTTTTCTTTCTAGAAGCTAGAAGAGGTCTCAGGTAATCTAGTCTAAGCCTTTCATTTTACAGGAAGAAAACTGAGGTCCTTAAAGATAAGCTTCTTGCCCAGGTTCATACAACTAATAAGTAACCAGTGGGGCCTTGAACTACTCTAACCCAAGCCCAGTGATTTCTCTCCTTTACTGCAATTTCTCAAGAAGAAAAGAGAGAAATGTCTGAAGACAGTTCCAAAGAGAAGTCTTTAAAGGTCTCTATTTGAGAAGAGCTGCTAATAAATGAAAACACAGACATTCCCAGAAGCATCCGTTAACTGCATGTGGTCCCATATTTTGTCTGAGCAAGCATGGTGAATCTGACTCTGTGAGTGAGCAGTCCCCCAGCTGTTCATCATCCAGCCAGTTAGGATTCTGGAAAGATTTTTAAGCTCTGAAGGAAGTGCTCAGGATTTTTAGAAAGATAGACCCTACTCCCCATCTGCTTTTGTTGTGCTGTAAGTCAAAGGCATTTCTAGTGTTCTCCCCCATGCCCCGTTTAGTTACAGTTAGAATGCTTTACCATGACCCTTCCTGCTTTTTCCAGGTTTATTTTCTGATATCTAACTGCCATTTTTCATTGCGTGTTTTAGTATTCTTTGCGTGGTAATATACTTTATCAAGGTGCCTCTGTCATATGCAAATTTATTTTTTTCTGTTTTAGTTTCTGTTTAGTGATAAAATGATTCCCTTCTTTTCTGCTCTTTCATCATTATGATAGTCAAATACTCATGCCAGAGCCTGGTATTGACAGGTCTGTAGGTGATGGTTAAGCTTGAAAGAGATTTTGTTCTAATCCATTTGTTTCCCTCCTCCTCCACCTAGTTCTCATTTTTAACCTAATGACTTTGCCTCATCTCTCTTTGTACTTTAATACACTTCTAAATTCATGCCCCTCTCTTGCAGGTATGATGAAGCCAGCAGGGCCTTTGGGGGCCACCGCCACTAGGGGAATGTTGCCTCCGGGTCCCCCACCTCCTGGACCCCATCAGTTTGGTCAGAATGGAGCTCATGCCACTGGTCACCCTCCCCAAAGGTGAGCTAGGTAGATTCCAACCTTCGTTTGTATATTCTCCTAAAATTATTTCAGAAATACCTTCTAAGCTTGTATGTTTATTGGTTGAAAGTTTGACGTTTTGATGATGTTACACACCCCTGAAAGGATCTGTTAGATAACTGCCCTAGGAAACAAAGCAATAAGAAAAGTTATGGCTGGGCATGATGGTTCACGGCTTTAATCCCAGCACTTTGAGAGGTCGAGTTGGGCAGATGGCTTGAGCCCAGGAGTTTGAGACCAGGCTAGGCAACATAGTGAGACCTCATGTCTACAAAAATAGAAAAAATTAGCCGGCCTGGTGGTGCATGTTTGTAGTCCTAGCTACTGGAGAGGCTGAGATGGGAGGATCCTGTAAGCCCGGGAAGTCAAGGCTGCAGTGAGCTATGATTGTGCCATTGCACTCCAGCCTGGGCAACACAGTGAGACCCTGTCTCAAAAAAAAACAAGAAAAGTTATGAAGAAAAAGACAGTATTAGTAGGTATTTAAAAATGTATCAAAAATTACTTGTGTCAATACCATACATGTTAGTTTTGAGTTATATTCAGTTTATTTTAGAATTTTATATCAATTTTAATTCCTTTAGATGCCCATGGCCTTTATTCTTGAATAAAACTTTAAATCATTCTATTTTCTTGGATCCTTCACAGAACTGAGCTCAGTGCCAATGGGTGCTTAATAAGTATTTTAAAATTAAATCGGATTGTCGCCAATGGGTCTGTGAGCTTGATGTGGAAGGCACACAGATGCCAGTGAGGGATTATCAAAAGGCAGAGCTGTAGTAAAAACAACACAGGAAATAAATCTTGTGTTTGTGTTTATAATAAATTGAGGAAGGGAAAAGTTGGAAGCAGGCCTGGAGAAGCCAAGATGTATGAAATATTTAGAGCCTGCAGCCCACTAGGGACTAATCCCTGGGAAAGAAGCCAGTATCACACCTTCCCTGTTAGAAATCCCATTATTGTTTATCCGGTGAGGTGTAGCTGCTGAGAACCTGTGCCAAGCCAGTGCCAAGCCGCAGGCAGTGTTTGCTTTGGAGTTTCTCCAAGGATTACCCAGAGGCTTCATTTCTCAGGTTCCTTCCCAGGTAGCAAGGTTTGGGGGTGGGGAGGCATGGGCAGTACCCCCTAGATGTGACTGTAGATCCTCCTAATGGTGAAGCCTTTTAGTCATGGCCTTTCATGAAGCCTATAGTCCTCCATAATAGGAAAACTCCCTCTGGGATTTTTTAAAGTCATCAGGTTAATTCTCCTACAGGGCATTTGTGAGCTTGGCACTGGCTGGCTCTTGTTTGTCATGATAACATGACATTTGCCGGTTGAAATGGTAGCTATGGGATGCAGAGGGTAGGTCATTAAGCGTGATTGTGGTTTAAGCTTGGAGCAAGAAGTCAAAGGGTCTTACTTGGGACCTGAAACTACTGCCCTGAGTCTCAAAAGAGTGATAGAAAGGCAAGAGAGGAAGAGCAAAAAGACGGAGAACCAAAATGCCTCTTCTGGTTCAAGCAGTTTACTAACTGTGGACACTGGTGAAGTTCCTTGACCATGCCTGTCCTCATTTTCACTTGTAAAATGAGAATATAGAATTCTCAGTCCAGAAGTAAAGGGGAGAAGATCTGGAAAAATTCATTGTTGCCGGGTGTGGTGGCTCACAGACTCACTTGTAAAATGAGAATATAGAATTCTCAGTCCAGAAGTAAAGGGGAGAAGACCTAGAAAAATTCATGGTTGCCAGGTGTGGTGGCTCACATCTGTAATCCCAACACTTTGGGAGGCTGACACGAGAGGATCGCCTGAGCCCAGGAGTTCGAGACAGCCTGGGCAACATGATGAGACCCCATCTCTACAAAAAAAAATAGAAAATTAGCCAAGCATGGTGGCATGCACCTGTGGTCCCAGCTACTTTGGAGGCTGAGGTGGGAGGATTGCTTGAGCCCAGGAGGTCAAGGCTGCAGTGAGCTGTGTTCATGCTATTATATTCCAGGCTGGGTGACAGAGGGAGACCCTGTCTCAAGGCAAAAAAAATTGTTGTAAACTTCCAGGCATCTCAGATATTTTTTTTAAAAAGAAAGAAGTGCAAAGATTGAACAGCTGGTTTCAAGTTTAGAAGAATGTTTTGGTCACTGGTATTAGCTTGGAATTGATTGATCTTTTTGGTTTATTGCCATTTATTTCACTTGATCAGGTTGCTTAGGAGTGAGTAAACCATGGACTTTACCATCAAGCAGGCCCTAACTTTGTGATTGTGAGCCCAGCACAGGGTCTGGCCCAGTGAAGAGCAGAGGACTCTAGAGTCAGGACATGTTTGCTAATCTTGGCCCAGACAATTACTAGCTAGATAAGTTACCTAACCTCTGTGTGCCTCGGTTTCCTCATGACGATTTTAACAATAATATGTGGTTGTGAGGATTTTAATGATTAATACATGCAGAGTACCTTACACAGTGCACTAGGGCCCATGGACTCAACACCTTAGCATTTGTCAATATCATTTCCATTGGATCTGAAAAGTCCACTGTTTATAGCTTGTCTGTCCTTCGAGCTCAATCTAGTTACTCATGACAGCTCAGGAATCTCTTGATAGCTTAAAGAATCTGCTTTTGTGGTGATTCCTAGGGAAGTACTGACAGATTTTACTCCCTCTCTTCTACTGTTCACTTGCTACAACTTGCATACTGGATTGAAGGTTAGAATTGGGGTTAAAAAGTGAAAAAGTCAGGGAAAAGTATAGTATTTCAGGCTGAGCCTTCCTGGTTACCATGCTGCCTTGCCCTCATGGGACATGCTTCTGTGAATGTAGCGCAATGCAAGGGTAAAGTGCACCGTGATTGTGCAGGTGAATCACATCAGTCTGATGACAGAGGCTGTCAAAGAGCATAGATGGCATATGACTCTTCTTTGTGGATTCTAGCATTTTATCTGTGTCATTTGTACTTAGTATACCAAAGAAATATTTTAATTTTACTGTATCTAAATTATCAAATAAAAACAAGATATAAATAAGTTACTATGTTGATTTGAATTTAACATGTAAAATTTTTATCTTTAAAATACTGCTTTTTAAATATAATGTTTTATAAAATTTAAAAATCATACCTAGTTATTTGTCTTTTTGATTTGACTGAGGAAGAATAAATGTCTTAAACTTGCAAGCAGTGCTAAAGTTATCTACATAGAGTTACTACTGGGTAGGATATTAAATAAAATCTGCAACCTAAAAATCAGTGTTTTTAATTATAAAATAAAAATTCAATCAATCAAGTTTAAGTGATGTATTCTGATGAAGAAACAGTGAATTTGAGGGAACAGTGGACCCATCTTCCCAAATTGAAGCTGATATGTGTGAATCTACTAAGAAATTGATTTCAACAAAAGTTGAAGGAAGGAGCAATAAAAATAAGAGAAGTAGTTGTTTTTTCTTCAATTTTATTTAGTGTGGAGAACGATGCTAGGATTTGGTGGAACTTTCATTTTTTCTCTATGGGCTAGGTATTCAAAATTCTGATTTTGTTTCAATCAAATCTTGAAAAACTTGGCATCTTAATTCCGCATACAAACTTCAGCATACATCTCATTTCTTGAGCAATTTATTGCAAACTTGAATATGGGGAGTGTTTGAAGTTGAACAGGCCACAGAAAACTGAGTCAACTCTGCAGAGGATTAGGATTAAATTGAGGCTAAATTTTCATGTTTTATTAATCATCTGGTAGTAATTCTTTATTGAATTCTTTCCTATGGTGAATCTGCCCTTCTCTGACATTCAGTGAAATGTAAATTAAAATATATACTTGACATTCAATGAAACCATAAATTAAAATATATAATTGAATGTTTTTCAGTCCAGAGCCATGTTGAATAAAGGCAGTCAACATGAGAAACATTTATTTAACTCTATATGGTTCTTAATTTTAACATTATATTTATAGCGAAAAAAAAAAAGGGATCACTCCATTTCACATGCTCTTTTTCAGAATTTGAAAGCTGAGAGCTACAGAGATTAAGTGGCTTACCTATAGTTACACACCAGGTTTCTACACTAGGGCAGGAGGACCTGGATTCCCACCTCAGCTTTGTACAACATGCTATGTGACTTTCAATAAAGTAATGAAATTAAAAAATATTGGCTGGGTGCGGTGGCTCATGCCTGTAATCCCAGCACTTTGGAAGGCCAAGGCGGGCGGATCACGAGGTCACGAGATTGAGACCATCTTGGTCAACATGGTGAAACCCTGTCTCTACTAAAAATACAAAAATTAGCTGGGTGTGGTGCTGCGTACCTGTAATCCCAGCTACTCGGAAGGCTGAGGTAGGAGAATCACTTGAACCTGGGAGGTGGAGGTTGCAGTGAGCCGAGATCTTGCCATTTTACTCCAGCCTGGGCGACAAGAGCGAAACTCCGTCTCAAAAAAAAAAAAAAAAAAAATTAAACTAATTTGTATGTTTAAGATGTTCTTTCATCTCTTCCCTCATTTATGTGAGGCATTTATATGAGGGGTTTGTTAGCCATTTAATACTATTCTATTTATTTTAAAATTGATAATAATTGCTTTTAAAAACCAAATCTATTTAAGACTTACCATATTTAAGTTGGTCAGAAAGAAATAATTTATTTGTGAATTTCTGAAACCTAACTCCTGGGGTATATGTTAGGCACTGAATCATAAGTAGGCATTTATGAGTTGAAAGTAATAACTGATGGTTATATAGTCTCTCATTCTCTATTTTAAATCCTTAACCTTTGTTAAGTTAAAAAAAATACTTGAAGCTGCTTGTGTTATAACTCCTGTTTGAAATATATTTTGTCCTACCTGTATTGTAAAAACAAAAAATGATTCACAGAACTGTATATTTAAAAGTACTAGCATTTATGAAACACCTTTGAAAATGTTTTGGGGAGGTTTTTTCTCCATATAAATGCAACATCCCCAGTTTCTGCTTATCAAATCCAACATCTGTAACCATACCTCATTGCATCCATGAATATATTCTATAGTACATGTATATTCTGCCTGTGTGTAATTACTTCATTTATTCCCTATGACAAACTTTTTTTTTTTTTTTTTTTTTTTTGAGACGGGGTCTCCCTGTGTTGCCCAGGCTGGAGTGCAGTGGCGCGATCTTGGCTCACTGCAAGCTCCGCCTCCCAGGTTCACGCCATTCTCCTGCCTCAGGCTCCCAAGTAGCTGGGACTACAGGCGCCCACCACCACGCCCGGCTAATTTTTTGTATTTTTAATAGAGACGGGGTTTCACCGTGTTAGCCAGGATGGTCTCGATCTCCTGACCTCGTGATCCGCCCTCCTCGGCCTCCCAAAGTGCTGGAATTACAAGCATGAGCCACCACGCCCCGCAGACAAAGTTTTTTTAAAAGACGAAAAAGTATTATTTCTTAAAAAGAAGAAATGTTTTCGTCTTAGGAAACAATGGATTTACAAAACAGACCTTTAATGTAATTCTTGAAATCATTTTTTAGTGATCACAACATATTTTAAATGTGTCATGCAGGACTAGAATTATATTTTTTGTGCTTGTGTTTCACCAGTGTCATTAATTGATTAGAGATATAAAGAAAACTTTTACTGTGAAAAGTTAATGTTTGTATTTTCTATCTTTTATTCATTTTCTTCCAAAAAGTATTTAAGTCAAAGGGTGCTTAGCCTAACTGTGTTGGGCTTTTTGAAAAGTTTGACAGGAGAGAAATTGGATAGTTTTGTTTAACAGTATTTTTGGGTTACAATGTTATTCATTCCATTATTTCTAGCCAATTTTCTGCTATAGGATAGCTTGTACTTGTGCGTACAATGGAAAGAATGGAAAGACCATTTTCTTTTTTTTTTTTCTTGCAACATGTATTTTATTAGGCAGCCTTTCTGTATCATTACAGAAGAGTCCTAAATTATAAAGTCAATTCCGGCTACCGATAAAACATAGACTGCAGAAATAAGCTGTTCAGAGGTATGAGTGGAAAAGAGCATTTTCATCACTCACCTATTTATCTCAAAGTGTGAGATACTATTCTGCAAATATGCTTAATGTCATGCACTCAGAGTAATGGTTGGAAGGTTAATTTTCTGTTTTGTTTATAATAATTATTCAATTTAAACATATGGAGAAAAATGACAAGATAAAATTAGTGTGATGCTTTGAATAGTGCACTCACTGAAGACCTGGAAAAACGCTGGTCCTAGTGTTGTCACAAATAAATTGTGGGACTTCAGGCAAGCACTGGCTTCCCTCAGGCTCTGCTCCTAACCTCTCAATGGCAGTAGGGGGCAGAAGGCAAGACATGGGCCATGGGGAAATAGTTTCCAGTTTTCAGATAGAGAAATTGAAATCAGAGTATACCATTTGGGAAAACTTAATTTAAAATTTAAAATTCATAAGAATTTATAATGTGACTCTCAGGCAGGCTTTAATCGCATTTGGCAGATTAACCATGCTAGGCACATTGTCCAGATAGCGGCCATTGTTTAATGCAGAACAAGAAAAAATAAACGTCTAATAAGTTCAAGCTAAATCAAAGGTAAAGCATGATGTAATTTTTAGATTTTTTTTTTTTCTCTTTGGGACAGGGTCTGGCTCTGTTGCCCAGGCTAGAGTGCAGTGGTGCAGTCTCAGCTCACTGTAGTCTTGACCTCCTGGACTCAAGTGATCATCTTACTTCAACCGCCCAAGTAGCGCCACCACTCCTGGCTAATTTTTTATTTTATTTTGTTTTATTTTTTGTAGAGAAGGGGGTCTCACTATGTTGCCCAGGCTGGTCTTGAATTCCTGGGCTCAAATTGTCCTCCCACCTCAGCCTCCCAAAGTGCTAGGATAATAGGCATGAGCCGCTGCTCCTGGCTGTATTGTTTTCTTGATTTTCATTCTGTTGATGATTAACTTTAGTATAGATAAGGCTCTGGTTGGCTCAGTTTCCCAAATTGATTTCCAGAACTGGTTTTATGCTCACATTAGGATTTTTTTTTTCTGTCTTGGCATGTTCAGCATGTGAGCATAAATATAAGATGATGCTACATGATCATATTGAGTTCATGTCAAGCTTAATTAAAGATTTAGTATATAATATCAGTCATTTTCCTAGGCCTACTAGACAGGCTTAATTTAATTTTACAAGCTATTAACATTATTGTACGCCATTTGCTTGAGACGCTGTGATATTGTTTGACATCCTGTTTTCCTCTCTCAGATTTCCAGGCCCTCCACCTGTCAACAATGTGGCATCCTCACATGCACCATACCAACCCTCTGCACAATCTTCTTATCCAGGTCCTATATCCACTTCATCTGTCACCCAGCTGGGCAGCCAGCTCAGTGCTATGCAAATCAACAGCTATGGTAATAGTTTTATTATTAGTGTTTATTGACTGCCTTGTGTCCTGGTCATTTTTAATGAGAGAGGTTTTCTTCATTTTTAAAATAGATGTAACTAGGGCATACTGTGTTGAAGTAGTATTTGGACATTTTTAATAATAAAGCATCTATCTTATGTATGGCTATAGTTAATTGTTTTCTTGATCATGCTGCCACTTATTTCAAGGTAATTGAAGGACCCTCAGAATACCTTCCATTCAATGATTGAACAATAAGAAAAGACAAAAAATGCTGATTTCACAAATAAACATTAGAATAGTGAAATTATTTTAAGAAATAAATAAGGATAATTTAAACCTTGTATTGTTTATGATGGGGCCCCCAAATCAGAAATATAGTACTCATTGTTTCACAGTGCATTTTAATTATGTGTTTAGATCATGGAAAGAGTGGAAGCTCAGATGTTGTGAGGCAGAAAAGAGAAGATAGGAGAGGAAAGAGTCACAGTACTGAGATTTACATCAACAGAAATGCTGTATATCCTGTGAGTCATGGAAAGCTCCACTGTAATGACAGCACAGTCGGCCATTTATCTAGATGAAGAATGTTTCCATGTTACTTAAAATTAGTTTTCTGAAGTATCATTAAAACCCCTCTATTTTCTGTCTTTTACTCATTTCAAAATGGATAAGTCTCCAAAGAAGCAACCCAGTTTCCCATAATCAGAGAAAGGAAAACATAATCTGGTTTTACAGCTATTTCCAATATGATTGGAGAGCATGTTGGTGGCCCTTCTCTTGTCTCTGGTTATTTCTACCTAATTCTGAAATTTGTTTGGTCAAGTCACGCACAGGATGCAAATAATTTATTGAATGTGCAATTTACCTGAGTAATGCTTGTTATGTAATAGAATTTTTATATGATTTTCTAGATTTGTACCAGATACAGATGCTTTAATTAATGCATATATCATGTAATTACACAACTGAGTTAAAATTTATTCTATGAATTCCCTTACTTAAATTATAAATGTTGCTTTTACCTTTTAAAAATTTTCCAGGCCAGGCATGGTGGCTCACACCTATAATCCCAGCACTTTGGGATGCCAAGGAGGAAGTATTGCTTGAGCCCAGGAGTTTGAGACCAGCCTGAGCAATATCACGAGACCCCAACTCTACAAAAAAAAAAAAAAAAAAAAATGAACTTGGCGTGGTGGTGTGTGCCTGTAGTCTCAGTTACTTGGGAGGCTGAGGTGGGAGGATCACTGGAGCCCAGGATGTTGAGGCTACAGTGGTCCATTATCTTGCCATTGTATTGCAGCCTCAGTGACAGAGCAAGACCCTGTCCTTAAAAAAAAGAAAAAATCCCAGTTGTATAAAATAGCGTTTGTTCTATTTTCTGAATGAAGATTTCAATTTGTGGCAAAAAACCCAAACATGTGTTTCTAAGGGTGTCCTCTTGCTTTATGTCAGGAAAACAAACATCTCTGTCATGTACTTTGCAGAAGTCAGAGAGTTGAGAAATGTGGTATTTAAGTGGGCTGGTCTCCTTTCTCACACAGGTTCAGGCATGGCTCCTCCAAGCCAGGGACCCCCTGGCCCTCTGTCAGCCACATCATTGCAGACTCCTCCACGACCTCCACAGCCTTCCATTTTGCAGCCTGGATCTCAAGTTCTTCCACCACCACCCACCACACTCAATGGTCCTGGTGCCTCACCTTTGCCTCTACCAATGTACAGACCAGATGGGCTCTCTGGGCCTCCTCCTCCAAATGCCCAGTACCAGCCCCCACCTCTTCCAGGCCAGACCTTGGGTGCTGGATATCCTCCGCAGCAGGGTAAGGCGGACAGGGTGCAGGGGAAGGCTTTGTGTTACCCAGGGGAACCCTTAACTGAAAATCAGCTTTGTTCCTATGTTACTAGGTATCTGTCACTTACTTTTAAGAAATGGTAGTTTTTGAAGAGTTTTGGCAAGAGCAAAGAAATGGGGAACCACACTCATACTTGACTCCTTGCTTTTTTTAATAAGATGAAAAATACAACATGCTTGACTGAACAGCATAATATCGTCAACAAGTCTTACATGCTGGATTTGGGATGATAGTCATTTCTCTTTAAATTTTTTCCAAGCAGCCAACTCTGGTCCCCAGATGGCAGGCGCACAACTGTCTTACCCAGGAGGCTTCCCTGGAGGTCCTGCACAGATGGCTGGTCCGCCACAGCCCCAGAAGAAGCTGGATCCTGACTCTATCCCTAGCCCAGTAAGTACTCTTCTCACTCTCACAGTCTCACTCACAAAGGAGCATTAATTTTTCTCAGCAACTCATCAGTTTGTTAGCATTTATCCTGTTCATTAGCATAGAAGTTAGGAGATACTCATCACATAGAGGGAAGGCTTCCTTCCTTATATGCATGTATGGGGGAAAGCATGCTAGGGTTATGGGCATACTAAAGGTCTCCATGAAAGAGCAGCCTGTGCTGATTTTTTTTTTCTTTTTTTTTGGTGTCATATAAACTTGGCAGTGTCTACAATGTTTACATTGACATATTTTGGCAGTATCGCTATCTAATGAGTAATTAACAGACTATATCCTATAGAAATATGCTATTTTAGATAACTAAAGGATCCTTTTCAATAAGAGAAACCCATAGAGACTGAAAGTATATTTTACATCTTGCACAATAAAAAAACAAATTTTTTTTAATGTAAAGTTAGAACTAAACTCTTCACTCAAGTGATTTCTTTGGAGGGTTACTCTTTAATAATTTTATCAGTCAAGCTTTGCAAGGCCATTCTGCATAGCAAACAATCCCCAACTTTGCTTACAACTGCAAAGATGTATTTATCACTCAGTTTACATGTAGGCTGTGGCAGCTGCAGATTGGATTTAGGCTCTGCTTCATCCGTCCTTATCATTCCAAAATCCAGCGTGAAGAGGCAAACACTACTGAGGACATGCTATTTTGTGGCATAGGGAGGAAACAGAGCTGGCCAAAATGTGCAACAGCTCTTAAAGCTTCCACTCATGTGTGGCATGTGTCATAACCACTCATGTGCCCTTGGCTGAAGCAAGTCATAAAACAAAGCCCAATGTCACTGAGACAGGGAAGCTGCCAATCTTATGGCATTGGGATGTAAAATCCTTTTGGAATAATAACGAAATTGGCTACAGTTTATTTTGTGTCTTTGAATAGGTTCGATAAACATAAGTACTTGAAGAATTAGAAATAAAGGAGCAGGAAAAGCTACCATATTAGCTAACTTATGCTGTGTAACCAACTGCTACAAAACAGTAGCTTAGCACTACTGTTTATTAATACTCATGACCCAGTGGGTTCCCGGTTTTTCTAATCTGGGCCAGGTTCATCTGATTTTGGCTGAGCTTGCTCATGCATCTGGGGTCAGCTGGAGGCTTGGCTAGAGTGTGGATGGTTTAGGATAATGTATTAGTTTCCTGTGGCTGCTGTAACAAATTACCACAAATCAGGTGACTAAAAACAACAGAAATGTATTCTCTCACAGTTCTGGGGACCAAAAGTCCAAAATCAATATGTTGGCAAGTGCTGTGGTTTGAACATTTGTCTTCTCCAAAACTCATGTTGAAACTTAATCTCCAGTGTGGCAGTGTTGAGAGATGATTGGGTCGTAAGGGCTCTGCCCTTGTGAATGGATTAATCCGTTCATGGATTAGTGGGTTAATGGATTAATAGGTTATCATGGGAGTGGAACTGGTGGCCTTATAAGAAGAAGAAAAGAGACCTGAGCTAGCACGCTCAGCCCCTTTGCCATGTCATGCTCTGTGCCGCTTTGGGATTCTGCAGAGTCTCCACCAGAAGAAGGCTGTCACCACATGTGGCCCCTCAACCTGGGACGTCTTAGCCTCCATAGCTATAAGAAATAAATGTCTTTTCTTTATAAATTACTGTTTCAGGTGTTATAAGCAATGAAAAACGGACTAAGCAGGGCTGTGCTGCCCCTGAAGGCTGTAGAGGAGAATCTGTTCCTAGGCTCTTTCAGCTTCTGGTGGCTCCAGGTCTTCCTTGGCTTGTGACCATGTGACTCCAGTCTCTGCTTCTGTGGTCACATTGAGTCCTCCTTCTCTTTGTGTCTTCTTCTCTGGGTGTCTGTCTCAAAATTCCTCTGCCTCTTTCTTATACATGTGATTCCATTCAGGGCCAGGATAAGCTCCTCCTCTGAAGATCCTTAACTTAATAAAATTATTTTGCCATATGAGGTAATGAAATGGAAAAGGTTCCCTCGTGCCCCTTGGAGGGCATGCAGTGGGGGTGTGGCTCGCTTCTTCAGTGCTCCAAAGCTCAAATCTCTAGGGGAGGATACAGATGGGCAGGCTGTGGGGCTCCGACTCCCATGGCAGTGTCTAGGGGTGAATGTTTACAGCTGAAGTCCCAGTGGGCGTGTGTTACAGGGTGCTCTTTTAGTTTGCCGTCTATAGGTGACTTGTATTAACCAGCTCAATTAGACCCCTTCCTTATCACAAGGACAGAGGGATTTCTGTATCCCAGGTTTTTGCCTTGCTGTACTGGAAGAATTGGATCACACATGGGCTTGGAGAATGAGTGCAAGGTTTTATTGAGTAGAAGTAGCTCTCAGCAGGTGGGGGAGCCAGAGGGAGATGATTTTCCTCTGGAGTCCCACCACTCAGTGGCCCTGGGTCTCCGACTGCCCCGGCCAAACTCCGCCTCTTCCCATGTCTGTCAGTGTGCTCTTCCACTGGCATTCTCCCTCCACGTCCTCTCGCTGTCCAGCTGCTTGTATCTTTATCCGCTGATGTGCTCCTCTCCACGTCTGGCTGCCTTTGTGTCTCCCCACTAGGAACTCAGGTTTTTATAGGCCCAGGATGGGGGTATGGCGGGCCAGGGTGGTTTTGGAAAATGCAACATTTGGGCACGGAAGGATGAGTGCCTGTCCTCACCTAGGTCCATGGGGGTAGAGCCCTAACCAGGGACCCACCTTTCTCTACCCAGCACTTCCCTGCCCGCCTCCCATATCAGTAATATTCACAGATTTCAGAGATTAGGACATGGACATATCTTTCTGAGGGCCACCACTCTGCCCATCATAGATAGTGTCAATTGTGTGTCTTGTGTTTGGTACCCATCTGTTGATGAGGAATGACCAGGCCACATTGTCAAGTACGGTATACTGGGTTTGTTCATGGGGTGGCAGACATCCAAAAGGGAAGGTAGGAGTGTACGTGGCCTTTTGAAGCTTAGGCTTGGAACTGGCACATCGCTACTTCTGCTACATTTTCTTGGCCAAAGCAAGTCCCAAGACTGCCTCAGATTCAAAAATGGACTTTGCCTCTTGATGGGAGGAGGGGCAAGGCAACATTGAAAAGAGCATTGATACAGGGAAGTGTAGATAATTTTGGCTATTTTTGTAATCTGTCACTTATTCTATATTTGAATTTAAAGTTGAAGATTTGTAATACTGTATACTGCTGTAAGATGTTAGAAATTAAATTTTGACAATTCTTAGTGCCTTTATTGATAATCATATTGCCAGTCATTACTTTTATGGCTTAAAAGAAAGAAGGAGGGAGATTTATTTTAAGTAATGGTTTTACTTCATTATGGGGACTGAATGGGAAAGTTAGGACAGCAGGCTGGAGACCCAGGGAAGAGTTGATATTGCAGCTCAAGTCTAAAGGCATCTGGAAGCAGAATTTTCCTCTTTCTCAGGGAACCTTTTTCTCCTAAGGCTGTCCGCTGATTAGATTAAGCCCAGCCACATTATGGAAAGTAATCTGCTTTACTCAAAGCCTGCCTGTTTAAATGTTAATTAGATCTTAAAAAATACTTTTAAAATACTTTCATAGCACCATTTAGACTTAGACTGGTGTTTGTCCCAAAAATGGCCTAGCCAAGTTGACACATAAAATTAACTGTCACATCCCCTTTCTCTTGCATCATCTGCACTTCTTTGAAAACGAACTTAAATTTTTCTGTGTCTAGATCATTCTCGTCAGAATATAAATATCCTATGATGCCTCCCATCATTAATAAAAGAAGCTTTCCTTGGCCTCTCCCCAAACCTGGATTCAGTTTCCACCCATCTCCTGGCTTTCTTTTAAAGCAAGAAATCTCCCAAAGAGTTGCCTATATCTGCTGTTTTCACTTAATCTCCTCCCACTCTCTCCTGATCCTATTCCAGTTTAGATTTCATCACCACAACCCCACAATACTGTGCTAGTCCAATTACCAATGACTTCCTGTTACCAAATCTAATGGTCAATTCTCAGCTTTCATGTGATTTGACATCAGCAGCAATTTGACACATCTGTTTACTCCGTTCTCCTTGAAATGAAACTTTTACATTTTGCTTCTGGGATTCCACCCATTTGCTTATATCTCTGCCTACCCCACTGGAGGCTGTGTCTCCTTTGTTAATGTCTCCTCATCTCTCTGACTACCTAGTGTTAGAAGTGTCCTAAGGCTTAGTCTTTGGACCTTTCCAAAGACTTAGTCTTAGTCTTTGGACCTTTCCTTTCTCCATTGGCATTTACTCTCTGGATAACACTTCTCAAAATGTGCTCGCAGGACAGCACCATCAGCATCATCTGGGAGCTTATTAAAAATTCATGTTCTCAGGCCTCAGCCCAAACCTACAGAATCAGAATCTCTAAGGCTAAGGCCCTGGAATCTGTGTTTCAACAAGCTCTTCAGATGATTCCTAGGCACACTAAAGTGTGCAAAGCACCACTCTAGGTAATTCCATCTATTTTCGTGGCTTTGAATGAGAATGCAGATATTCCTAGTAAAGACCTTTTCCCTGAAATCCAGATCCAATTCCATTCTTCTGGCTCCTCAGGCCAAAAACCTGGGGATCATCTCTGATTCTTCCTTTCTTGCACATCTCATATTTAGTTCTTTAGCTAATTCTCTTGGTCCTACCTTGTCTATTCATCCTGTTCCAAGCCTCTACTATCTACCTACCTAGGTTTTTATAAGAGCCTCCTAATTGGTCTCCCTGCCCTTTCAGTCTGCACAGAGCAGCCAGAGTCATCCATTCAAATTCTAAGTCAGATCATGTCATGGCTACGGAAACCAATACTCTAAAAACCAAAGTTCTTACAATAGTCTGCAGGACCCTACATTATTTGCCACCCCTGGCTCCCCTATACCCTCTGACACACACACACACACACACACACACACACACACACACACACACACACACACACACACACACAGCTACCTCTGACCTGGTCTCTTACCACTCTTCTCCACCCACTTTGACCAGCAACACCAGCCTCTTTGTTGTTCCTTGGCAGGCCAAGCATGGTCCTGCCTCAAGGCCTTTGCCTTTATTCTGCTTAGATGCTCTTCCCCTAGATGTATGCAGGGCACAGCTCATGTCCTCATTTCCTTAATGTCCTCATTGCTCATCCTCAGTCTCCCTGGCACCCCATCCATACCACTCCATATCCACAGCACTGAATTACTGCCTGATGTTGGATGTGTTATTTGTACATTTGTTTACTTATTGCCTGTCTTCCACACAAGAATGTCCACTCCATGATGGTTTTGTTCACTGCTGTGTCTCTAACACTTAGAACACAGCCTGATACATAGTATATGTCCACATATTCCTTGAATGGATGAATGAATGAATGGGCAACAAAAGCAAGAAGGAGTAGATGCTGTGACTCATCCAGGACCCTTATAATACATACAGACAAATCAGTCCAGTATTTATTTTTATCTTAAAACTAATGATATAGTGATGGTCAGATGGAGCCTGTTTGTATTCCTATTACCAAAGGAACATACTTTTGCTAACAAAATAAATTTTTCCTTCTGGAAAGAAAGATGTAAAGTCACATTTACTGAGCTTCTGCTATACCCCAGTCCTGAGCGAGGTGCTTATTATAACCCTTTTGGTGGTGGTTTTAAACAAATTTTGAAAGTAAGGAAATGTATCATCATCAAAACTCTTCCTCCCTCCTTTTCTGTGTCCATAAGAGGATTATTCAGAAGTTGGGTGCTTTCTGTAGGCTGGGTGAGGTGGCTCACACCTGTAATCCCAGCACTTTGGGAGGCTGAGGCGGGCGGATCACGAGGTCAGGAGATCGAGACCATCCTGGCTAACATGGTGAAACCCCGTCTCTACTAAAAATACAAAATATAGCCGGGCGTGGTAGTGCATGCCTGTAGTCCCAGCTACTCGGGAGGCTGAGGCAGGAGAATGGCATGAACCTGGGAGGCAGAGCTTGCAGGGAGCCAAGATCGTGCCACTGCACTCCAGCCTGGGCGACAGAGCAAGACTCTGTCTCAAAAAAAAAAAAGAAGTTGGGTGCTTTCTACTCCACTTTATCTTACCACTCCAAAATTCACATGATCTTGCTAAGCAGCCTTTCTTGCATGGCACACACGTCTTCTTGTTTTTCCCTTATCCTTGTTCATTTATCTCAAGATAATCACTTTCTTTTTTTCTCTTTTCCAATTCTGTTTTATGAACCCAGAATGTTCCACTCATAGCAGATAAATATAATCGTAATTCTAGCAGCACATCTTCTGAAGGAAAAATAAATCTATACCTTTTGAAGTAGTTTTGGAATTATCAAGGATCACTGTCATTAAATCTAAACCCTTCAGGTACCAAGTCACAGTCAAAATTGCTATTGAAGCTTCTTTATCTCTAAGCCTGTTTTTCAAGAACATGCATTTGAGGTAAATAAAAAAGGTATAGTATTTTTTAGCAATTATCAGAACGACTTTAATCTCCCATTCTTTTCTTTGTAGTATTCCATCCAAGATGTGAATTAATTTAGAAATGTAATTACTACTGATAACACTGTTTCTTTGGAGGCAGGGCTTTGTAAATTGCAAATGGATAATTTAAAAATAAACTTTTTGGAAATTCAGTCTATTGAAGACTATATTCAATATGTTCTGTATATTATGCACACTAATACATTATCATGGCTTTTACCTCACTTTCATATTTGACTCTTTGTTGGTTGAAATGATTGCAATAAATATTGATAATATAAAAATGACTCTAAGCCAGGTGCAGTGGTTCATGCCTGTAATCCCAGCACTTTTGGTGGCTAAGGTAGGAGGAAAGCTTGAGCCCAAGAATTTGAGACAAGCCTGGTCAACAAAGTTAGACCCCATCTCTACAAAAAATTTAAAAATTAACTGGGCATAGTGGTGCACACCTGTAGTCCCAGTTACTTGGGAGGCTGAGGCAAGAGATGGCTTGAGCCCAGGAGATTGAGGCTGCAGTGAACCCCCTTCACACCACTGCACTCCAGCCTGGGCATCAGAGCAAGACCCTGTCTCAAAGAGATAAAAAACAACTCTATTTTTAATGAATCCGATTAACCTTGTGGTCAAAATACAGAATATAATTACAGTGTTTCGATTTCTCTGCTTTTTGTCTCTGCTCATGGTAGCTTTAGTCTTATCTGTGTCTGACAGCAGTTATGTTTGGAGCCATTTTATATTTTAATCTAATAACAATTCACATCCTATGAAATTAGGAGGGAAGACCTGTAGACTTAAAGGCAGGCTAAATCTGTCATCAACATTTCATAAAACCAGTGTTGTCAGTACCAGCTGGGGGCTGGAGTGGATGGAATGGGAGGGAAGAGTAGAGAAAGCAACATTTCAGAGTTTGGCAGAAGGCAATTTTCATATTATTAATGGTTTTAAGAATATTAAAAACTGCACCCTTGGTGTCGTTTGGACACACTATTCCAGTCTGGACACACTTCCTGTTTCTCCATTTTTTTTTTTTCCTCTTCTTACACCCTCTCCATTTTTTTTTCCTTTTATTCCTCCTTGTTTCTCTTATGAAGAAAGAAGTGAGGGAAGGGAGAAGAGAAAGAGGAACATAATTATTAGGATTCTTTCTTGTTCTCTTTTTAACTCCACACTACTAGATTTTGCTCATAATTTTCACCCCTACACAATTAGAACAGAAAGATATTTTGTATCTCTTATGTTCTTCATCAATAACAATTGTTTTTAGTAGAGAAATATCAGATGTTTCCACATTAGATGACAGAACTTAAGAGACTTTTGCTGCTGTTGACTTCTCTGCAGCGGGCAAAAACCACATGGGATTGCTTTATACCATTTGTGTCTTACATCTCAAGGAACCAGGGATGCAGTTGGGGAAACTTGAAAAGCAAATTGAAGATCAAAAGACATTTGAGGAGAAAGTTAAGGTTTTTATAGGTTGTATATTATAAATCATTTCTTCTGAGATAATTTTTAGCCTTTTAGAAGTTTCTTTTATTTGAAAGAGTATTTCCTTTATTTATTTATTTTGAGATAGGCTCTTGCTCTGTTGCCCAGGCTGGAATGCAGTGTCACGATCATAGCTTATTGCAGCCTTGAACTCCTGAGCTTAAGCAATCCTCCTACCTCAGCCTCCAGAGTAGCTGGGACTACAGTCAGGTGCCACCATGCCTGGCTAATTTTTTAAACCTTTTTAGTAAAGATGAGGCCTCACTCTGTTGCCCAGGCTATTCTTGAACTCCTGAGCTGAAGTGGTCCTCCCGCCTCGGACTCCCAAAGTGCTGGGATTACAGACATGAGCCATTGTGCCAGGCCAGTATTTCCTTTAAATCGTTGTTTTCAATTTCTTTTCTTACCAGATTTTTTTTTTTTTAAGAAAATGCTGGCCAGGTGCAGTGGCTCACACCTGTAACACCAACACTTTGAGAGGCCAAGGCAGGAGGATTGCTTGCACCCAGGAGTTTGAGACCAGCCTGGGCAACATAGGGAGAGGAGACCCTGTCTCTACAAAAAGATGAAGAAAAAGAAAATTAGCCAGGTGTGGTGGCACCCACCTGTGGTCCCAGCTACTCGGAATGGCTTGAGTCAGGGAGGTGAAGGCTGCAGTGAGCTATGATTGCGGCACAGCACTCCAGCCTTGGTGACAGAGTGAGACCCCCATCTCAAAAAATGAAAAAAAATAAATAAATAAAAAAGAAAGAAAATGCTTACCTATGTTCTAATAAACAAATTGGATAAAAATAAAGTTCTCTGAAGGGTCACGTTGTCAGATTTGAAGCTAAAGAATTACAAAATAGAATTGGAAACTACTATTCTAAAATTGTAACCATTTTAACTGAAGACATGGTAGGTTTTTCCATGACAATTTGATCTGAAATGAACAGAAAGGATTTAGAAAATGCCAGTTTGTGTGAGTGTGTGAGACTGTGTGTGCATCTCTGTGTGTGTGAATATTGAGAAGGAGGGGAAAAGGAGGGAGGAGAGAGCAAGGGTACTCTCTAAATGGAATGTTGGGAAGAACTGGAACCTACTTTAACGGGCTCTTGATGTCTTATTTATCAGATCCAGGTGATTGAGAATGATAGAGCCAGCAGAGGAGGACAAGTTTATGCCACCAACACCAGAGGCCAGATCCCTCCCCTGGTCACTACAGATTGCATGATACAAGACCAAGGTATTTGTTTTTAATTATGCCATTTATTAAGGTTTTAAAATTTCTCACCGTTTTTAAAGCAAATACACTGACACCCTTCAATAATGCTCTTAATAATGGAAAACCCCATTATAGCTGATAATCAGTTCTCTGTTAATCCCTCAAGTACCAAGAGGATGCTATCAACTGAATTTTATTCTGTGCGTATGGAAGTCTGGAGAGTTCCAGTGAGGTACAGAGCAATATATCTGCTTAAAACAATTATTTATTTTAATTTATGGGTTTAAATTAGTTTATACCCTACTTTGGTTTAATTTATTCACTATGTTGGAAAGCTGGCACGAGCAGAGCAGTAAGGAATTAGACTGTTTGAGATGTTAGCAGACCTGGTTCTAGCCCCAACAATATTTTCTAAGCAGATATTTTTAACATTTTGGGTTCTGTTTTCCCACATTTAAACTGGAAAGAGGAGAAGCTGAGCTGCATCTCTGCTGTTCCATACCTCTCAGCTCAAGAATATATTACCCTATTGTTGATGACAAGTTAAGAATATAGCCCGATGAAATCTGATGTCTGAGATTCTGAATATACCATTTTAATGGATCATGTACTCAATCCTAGAAGCATAACATCAGTATACAAACAAGCATTTTGTCTCATCCCAGAGTTGTTGAGCTAGCCAAGTTCTAGTTGGGGATCCTCTCTCTATCCTCTGTGCCACCTTCAGAGCTAACCTTATAGAGTGGGTAGCACAGTGAGGTAGAAAGAGACTTGATTGGGAGAATTCAGACTCCACTCCTTACTGCCCAAGTGAGCTTTGTCCATTTCACCTCTCTCTCTCAACCTCAGCATCACCCTCAGTAATATGTGGAGACTAAGACCGGCTCTGCAGAGCCAGTGTAAGAATTAGAGGTGACTGTGTACATGAGTCTTTGTATATGTGTGTGTGTGTGTGTGTGTGTGTGTGTGTGTGTGTGTATGCATGCATACACATAAGTATGCTTATATGTGTATAGAGGGCTCAATACACAGAAGGGTTTCATGTAAATTATAGGTGTTGTAGATACTAATATTAAAAAAATTCAGATGACTTCATTTATTATTCTAAAAATAATTTTTCCTTCTCGGCCTTTTGGCTAAGATCAAGTGTAAAAATAATTTGTTTCTTCCTCATTACTTAGAACTCATTCCAACTAGTTAGATGAGTTCATATTTGTAAAGGATTTAGGGCTTGGTAGATAATAGGTTGAGGTATATGAAATTGTTGATTTTTTTTTTCTATCACTGTGACCTATAAAAGGTGGCAATTTCATTTCAACCTAATGATAAGTATTATATAAGTGTTTTAATATCTATTTATTTAATATTTAAAATAAATATAAAACAATATTGGGGCTTTTTTCAACCTAAAGAATATTCCTGACCAGCCTCATCTCCCACCTGTTTCTTGCTTTACAATTGCCTTCATATACCAATCTCATCGTCTTTCTCCTCATGCCTCTGATTCTCACATTGTACTGTTTTCTCTGCAACAGCCTGAGGATGGTTTTTTGTTGTATCCTTAGAAATTCACCTGGTATCTAGAACATACTAGTTGACCAATAAATATTTATCGGACACATGTACTTGGAATGTATGACTCTCAGCCCTTTAATTGGGAAACATTTAGTTCTTCTAAACTCAATTTAAATTTTCTTTTTCAAGTCTTCTCCAGTGTCTTTTCCCATAATGCTTCATATATATTTCACCCGTATCACATTAAATTTTATTGTGGTTTAGATAGGTCTCTCCCACAAATCTTGGAGCTATCTGGGATCAGAATTCCACTTGTTCAGAACTTCACTCATTCATGCATACATCCAGAAAATGTTTATTCAGTACCTATTATGTGCCAGGCCTCTATGCTAAACCTGAGGTTAATAATATAATAAAAATATACAAATTAACATTATTATTATAGCTAATAATTGCAAGTACTTAGTATGTATCAAGACAATTTTCTAACCACTTTATATGGAATAATTTAATCCCCCTGTAATGTTACGAGATAGGCATTAATATCATTCTCATATTACAGAGTGGAAAACTGAGGCACAGAATGCTTAGGTAATTTACCTAAGAAATGTAGCTAGTAGGAGGCAAAGCTAGAATTTGAACTCAAGCATTCTGATGCAAGTGCCTGTGTTCTTAACTTCACTGCCTCTATTCAGAAATAAAAGACACAGCTCTTTTTTTAAATGAGTGAACAATCTGGCAAGGAAAAAGATAACTAAATATTAATTCAGTGAGATAAATGTTATATTAGAAAGATAAAACACATGTTGCCATGGGAACTTAAATGTGAGGTCACCAACCAGATAACTGACCCAGCCTGTCTTGCCCAAGTTGGGGACACCCAAACTGTGTCTTCAGTGAGCAAGTGTAACCCACAAGACTAGGGAGATGGGGGAGGGGAGGGTTGCCAGGCAGAGGAGGTGAATGTGCTGAAGTACGGTAGTGGGAGAGAGCATAATACATGTCAAGTAACAGCATGTGCATAGCTTTTTGTTTTTTGAGGGACTTGTGGGTAGTTTTTAAATTGTGGTCAAATCTATATATATAACATAAAATTTATTATTTTAACCATTTTTAAGTATACAATTCAGTGGCCTTAATTACATTCACAATGTTGTGCAACCAAATCATTCTTATTACCTGTTTCTAGAACTGTAAAAAAAATCATCCCACACTGAAACTCTGTACCCATTAAACAATAACTCCCCATTCTTCCACCCCACCCAGCCCCTGGTAGACTCTGTTCTACGTTCTGTCTCTATGAGTTTGCCTACTCTAGGCTCCTCATTTGAGAGAATCATACAATATTTGCCCTTTTCTGTCTGGTTTATTTTACTTAGTATAATATTTTCAAGGTTCATCTACCTTGTAGCGTATATCAGAATTTCATTCCTTTTTAAGGCTACGTAACTTTCCGTCTTTTATACATACTGCATTTTGTTTTCCATTCATCTGTTGAAGGACATTTGAGTTGTTTCTACCTTTTGGCTCTTGTGAGTAATGCTGCTGTGGATATTTACGTACAAGTATCTATGCGAGCCCCTGCTTTCACTTCTTTGGAGTATATACTGTACCTAAAAGTGAAATTGCTGGATCGTATAGTATGGAAAGAGTATGAAGGAAGGAGTGGGTGAGCAGGCAGGACTAGTAAGGTGGCAGGGTCTCAGTCATCGTTCTCTCTCCTTAGCCTGCAGCCTAGCCCTTGGCAAGAAGAGAGAGCTGCCCTGGTATGGAGCCCCAAAGTTGGCCCAGTCATACCCTTTTGCTATGAAGCCCCTTTGTCTGACCTGGCTTATTTGCCAATAGTAATAAGCTTTTTAGGATGTAGCTCAAGATTCTCAGACTTGTACAGAAATTCACAGACATAAGTACAATATAGAGCTGGAAGGAACCTTGGACTTTATTTGCTCAGCTCTCTCACTTTACAGATGTAAGGATAAGGCCCAGGGAGGTTAAGTGGCTTGACCAAGGCCATACAGCTGGTTAGGATCAGAGCCAACAAAGAAAAGTTTAAAATATTCTTAAACTTTAAAATATTATTCCTTTGCCTTTGGCTCCAGGATCTTATTTTAAGATTCCACTTGTCCTTTGGTTCCCATCCTTTAAGACCCTGTTCAAGCACCTCATCCTTCGTGTGGTCAATTCTGGTCCAAGTGACAGAGTCATTGTCTCCCTTCTTCTGTTTCTTAATCTATTTGCTCTTCTGTGATGCTTACCATGCTATGTTGCAATGATCTATTTTTACTGTCACTCTTTCCAACTAGATTGTGAAGCCAGAGACTTTACTGTATTCTGTTTCTAAGCCCTTTCCTGGAGCTTTGCTTAGTAAATGTTTGTGGAATGAATTTATTGAATGTTTTCAGTAAAATTATCACATAATGCTCTTTATTAAGCATCTCAAAAAGTTTCAAATCTTAGTTCCTGTGGTTGCTAAATTATCCACGGTAGCCAGACCTTTTATGCCCCACTGTTGTATACCTGTTTATAGAAACAAATTCTCAATTGCTTTTTCAAATTTTATTATTTGTGCACATTATCTTCCTATACGAAGCATTTGTTTAGTCACCTTTAGAGCTCATTCATTTATGCATATTTCACTGTCAAAAAATAAACCCTTTAAAGGTAACAAATATCCAGCTTCAATATTTTATTGGTAATTTTAACGAGTATAATTGAGTGCAATGGAAAATTAAAATAAACTTTCAAATACTTTTAAAATTCTTAGTTCATGGTCTGTATAACGTTGTGTAATGATGATAATAAGGAAAGTTTTGTTTAAATATGAAACAAACACTATTAAGCATTCAAGCATACTTACATATATTAATATTACCTAAGAGTTCCTTTACTTGTATTCCTGCTGCCAAAAGTCTGGTTTCCTCCTCTGTTACTGCTTACCTGGGCTCTTAAAGCAATGGACCAGTTTACCTGTCTGTATTCTTTTTCTGTTCCTAGAAGCTATCTAACTTTGGGCAGACTGATTTTCTTCAATTACTTAATTGATCATTTTACCCTTGCCAAAAAAAGTTCGATTTTTTTTTTTTTTTTGAGATGGAGTCTTGCTCTGTCGCCCAGGCTGGAGTACAGTGGCGCGATCTCAGCTCACTGCAAGCTCCGCCTCCCAGGTTCACGCCATTCTCCTGCCTCAGCCTCCCGAGTAGCTGGGACTACAGGTGCCCGCCACCATGCCCGGCTGATTTTTTTGTATTTTTAATAGAGACGGGGTTTCACCGTGTTAGCCAAGATGGTCTCAATCTCCTGACCTTGTGATCCACCCGTCTCGGCCTTCCAAAGTGCTGGGATTACAGGCGTGAGCCACCGTGACTGGCCTTTTTTTAACCCTGACTAAAAAAATGTCACGGTTGCCCATGGGCAGACAGGGTTGGTCTCAACTCCTCATCCAGCATTCCAGGCCTTGACAACCTGGACTCAATTTTTCTGGGATGTTGTAGAAATTTATAATTGGTTCTAATGCCACTTTTGCCACTTACTAACTCTTTGACTTTTGGAAAGTCGCATAACCTCCCGGTGTCTCAGTTTCCTCCTCAGTAAAGTAGATTATAAATATATTAATCCATAGAGTTATTGTGGGGCTAAATGAGTTTACACGTAACAGTCTTAGAATGATGTCTAGCGCATTGGCTGCTGTTATTATTATCACCCTTGTTGTTAGTACTGTGTCTTCCCCTTCTCTCAGATGCTCTGCAGAGCAGCTCAAGGACTGGATTCAGCCTGCAGTCATGTTAATTTGTCCTACACAGTAATTTCTTCTGTTTCTATTTGAATTAATTGTCATTATTTAAAAATCAGAATACATTATATAAAAATCCGGATTTCCAGTTTGTCCTAAAAACTGTGAAATCTGGCACTAGTAGCTTGGAAATGAACAGAATAAAAGCTTTTTTAAGTCCAACCTCCCGTTCATTTCAGGTCTGCATCTGTGCAGCAAAACATGGCCAGAGAGAGGCTCACAACCCCGCCACAATCGCTGTTTAAGCTCAGGACCATAAACTTCCCAACATACTGTATTTCTCAAGTCTTTTCACTTTTCCACTCTCCTTAGTGACTATTTCATACTTTTTCAAACCTGCAGCACCTTCTCTCGCATCTTTCTTTTAGCTGCTTTACATCCTCCTTTCAGAAAGGAAATTCCATGCACCCCACCACCACGTGGACCCCCAGTCTCAGCGCATCCTCCCACTGTGCCCACCTGCATTTGGCCCTCAGTGAGCAATCTGTGCTCCAGTCGAAAGCCAGCCTCTCTCCCTGTGCACCACTCAAGTATATTTCCACAGTAAGTTTCCCCTCTTCCTCTTAAATCATCAGTATTTTTCTTTCTACAGAATGATTCCCATCTTTTTTTAAAAAAAACCTTCTCTCATCTTAAAATATAAAAATGTTTTCTTGATCCACTTCCCTTACCAGCTAGCACTCTTTTCTTTCCACCCCTCTACAGCAAAACTTAAAAGGACTATTGCCAATTCTTCTCCTTCTGTTATCTCTTAAACTCACTCTGAGCAGATTTTTCCCTAGCATTCCACCAAAACTGCCTCTTTAGGATCTCCAGCAGCACCATCTGGCACAGATGATCGTGCCTCCGCGTGATACACATCCTACACTTCACTTCAGGACGCTAGGCTCCTCGTTTCATCCTTCTCAGTCCTTTGGCTGCTTTCTCCTCCTCCTCTGACCTCCTTATCTTGGAGGACCCCAGGGCTCAGTACTTGGTCATCTTCTCTTCTTTGGCCATAATTATTCCCTTGGTGGTTTTAACCTGGTTTCATGGTTTCAAATACCATCTATATGCTAAGAATTCCCAAATGTGTATCTCCACCCCAGACTTTAGCCCAGTCTCCAGATGTACATATCTAATTGTCTACTCAGCATTGCTGTATGACTGTGTAATAGATTTCCCAAATTGGACATGTCCCTGACTAGATTCCTGATCTCTACCCGCACACCCGTTAAAACATCCCTTCCCTTTCTGCAGCCTTTACTTTGTCAGTTGGTGGCAATTTTATGCTTCTGGTTTCTCAGGCCAGCAATCTTAAGAGTCGTTCTTGACCATCACGCTCTCTCACACTCACATCTTCACACCTTATATGCCCTTAACAAATAAGTCACTGTACCTTTGAAATATATCCAGAATTTAGCCACATCTCAACACTTCTACTCCTGTCAGGCTGGTACTGCAGCAGCCTCCACATGGTCTCCCTGGTTCTACTCTTCCCCACTGCAATCCATTCTGAAAATGCAGGCAGAGGAACCTACATTACAGCATGACACTCCTCTGCTCTAAAGCCATCAGTGGCTCCCCATTTCATTGGGAGAAAAGCCAGAGGGCTTAAAATGGTCTCAAGAGTCTACCTCATCTGGCCTGTTGCTTCGCTGAACTCCACACCAGTTGGTGCCCCCCACAGTGGCTCCATTCCAGCTCCATGGGCCTCCTGCTGTCACTACTCCGGGCATGTCCTTCCCCAGATACCCACTAGGGTAAATCGCTTGCCTCCTATGACTCTTTGCTCAGATGTTACCTTTTAAATAAGGCCTACCTTGTAAGTATTTAAAATTGCAATCTGCCTGCCACTTCTTGGTACCCCTTCACTAGATATGCTTTTTTCACAGCATTTATCACCTTCTAATGTCCTATATAATTTACTTTTATTAGGCGTAATATTCATTGTCTGTGTCCTCTGCAAGAACATAAGCTCTGCAAGCACCTAGGACAGGGCCTGAAATGTCTTAGACATTCAGTGAACATTTGATTGATGATTACATTCTTTTAGTCATAATATTTTATTTCAAAATTTATCTTAGATAAGTTATTCTAGTGATACAAATATTCTTTATGTCATAGATATTGTTTTAACACTCGGATATGCCATGAAGTAAAGATATTTTGGTCAGGAAGCCTAACATCTATTAAAAATAGTTTAGGGTGTTTTTGAAAATAATATTTCTATTATAAGTAGAATTTTCATTTTGAAATTCAATTTCCAAATTTAGAAAAAAATAGTCAAATGGAATCATATTTGACAAAGTATCACTTGCTAATATGAAATAGTATACAAATGCTTACCTTTCCCATAAGCAGATAGAAGAGGATGAAGAAGAAATGATTGTGATTCAAAAGTTTTGTTCTGTCATATTTGTGTGTCTCTTTGTTTTATTTTTTCCATTGCATCTAAATGCCTCTCAAATATATAGTAAGGCTATATTAAGACTCTGCTTATGGAAAATAATAATAACTAAGATACTTCTTTTATATCTTTGCAGTAGGATTCAGAGTATTTTTATTTTGTAAGAAATTACAGTATGCCTAGAATATAGATTGTAGAATTGCACAATACTACTTTTTTAAAAAACAAATCATGAAGAGAGTTTTACAAATAAGAAATAATGCAATGCATTATCTAGAAGTACCTTTATAAATATTTGAATATCTTAGGGAAGGTTTTTTTCTAAACAAGTTTTAAGTGTATCCTTTTGAATGTTTCAGGAAATGCCAGTCCTCGATTCATCCGTTGTACAACATACTGTTTTCCATGCACGTCAGATATGGCTAAGCAAGCTCAGATTCCATTAGCTGCTGTCATCAAGCCCTTTGCCACCATTCCTTCAAATGAGGTAAGAATGATATATAATAGCAATTCAATAATTTATCAATTCCAAAATTACCATTTTCTCACAATTTTCTTATACATTATTCTATAATATAAACAGGAAACTGGAATATATTTTTATAATGCAAAACATCTAGTAATTGAATTCATCAGGAAAACAAATAATCCAGCAAGCTATGGTTTTTGGCATCCTGTACACCAAATACAGATGGACTGCGTCACTTTTTGGCGTATTGTAGTAATGCACACATACAGAAAATATAGAATGTCACACAGTAAAAGTATTGTGACTTGTCACAAGGCCCTGATACCCTAGTTTAGAGCCCTTACATTGTGGGTGTTCTGTTGAGGGAAGATGATAGATCCTATAGTCCTTGATCTATTAGAGCAGATCTTACTACATCTGCTTTAATTATCACTGGGCCAGGATACTCATCAACTCCTACTTAAAGATTAGAAAGTATGGGATAGATAAATCTGTATATATTGATTTGAAAATATGTGCTCAACATATAGTTGAGCGGGAAAAAAAGATAAGTGGTTTACATTGAAAATCTGCAGTGTCAGGATGCTGCCAGTGGGTATTTGATCTAGACTTCCAGGAACAACCCAATTCCAACCTACACTGCTGCCATTCCTTCTTTTGATGCCCCTGAGTGATGAATGCCCACATGCGCACAGAAACACAGGCACTATAGCAGAGCAAGTCACACAGGGGAAGAAAAGCTTGACTTCCAGCTGGAGCTGTGACCATAACCCATTGTAGTATCCAGGTAAGCTAGGCCGAACCACAGATTCCTCTTGCTGCACTAAAGGCCAGAGCCCCAGTATTCCCTCCCAGCATAAACCTCAGTGTTGGATCTAATGATCCTTTGAAGTAGGCTGATGTAATGTACACCTAGCAGCATCTAAGCAAGAGGCAGAGCATCTGCAAGAGCAAACAGATTCGTTCCCTTTCTTGGGCTCACCACACCAGCTGGTATGGAGAGTAAAGCAGTGTGAGGAAGGGGAGGAGGAAGCTATGGTGAGTGGGGCTTTATGTCCACTAAGGGAAAGAAGAGAGAAAAGAGAGATGTGTGATGTGTGCAGTAGCTTTCATGCCCTTTGGGATCTTCACTCACTGTCCTTATGAATGTAATGTAATGCTGCCAACACTTCCTTTTGGGAGCAGAGTGAACTGGCTTAGAGTAGGTCATGGGAGAGGCATTGAACTGTTGTTAGAAGCCAAACTTACGTGTGGTATGGTTTCGTATTTGCAAATCAAGATGTACATTCAGTATCTCCTTTACATATTTTAACCATAGTCTCTTCCATGATGGTTCTAGAAATTTAATATAATATTTATAAACACCTCATTAAACTCACTATGCTTAGTATGAATGAGGTAGACCAATATGTATTGACAGAGATGCCGCTATGTACAATGCATGCATTTTAAAGAAAAACTTAACTAGAAGTATTTTCAAAGCTATTTTCAACATTGTGTTTTGAAAATTTTCAAACATACAGAAAATCTAAAACGATTTCATAGTGAACACCTATATCCCTGCCACCTGGATATTACCATTAACATGTAACTACACTTGTTTTGTCACATATCATGATGTTCATCTGTCCATCAACCCATCTTTTTTATTCTGATCAATTTCAAAGTAAATTGCAGACATTTAGACACTTAATACTAAATACTAAATACTCCAGAATGCATATCATTAGGTAGTGTTCAAAATTTGCTTACGGATTATTTTCTCATTTGAGGCAAAATTCATTTACAATAAAATGTACATGTCTTAAGTGAACGTTTATTGAGTTTTGACAACTGTGTATACCTATGTAGCCGAGACACCTATCAAAACATAGAACATAATTGCCACCCCAGAAAGTTATCTCATGCCCTTTCCTAGGCGACCCCCACCCCTTCACATAACCTCCCTTCCCTGGCAGCCACAGTTGTGATTGTTTTCTGTGATAGATTTGTTTAGCCTATTCTAGGACTTCATGTAAATAGAATGATAAAGTATGCTCTATTTTGTACAAAGGTTCTCTTACTCAGCATAACGTTTTAAAGAGCCATTGTGATGTTGCATGTATCAACAGTCTGTTTCTTTTTTATTGCTGAATAGTGCAATTCATTGTATGAGCATACCGCCACACCTTGGCCTACTATAAGAGGTTTTAGGCTGGGCACGGTGGCTCACACCTGTAATCCCAGGACTTTGGAAGGCTGAGGCGGGTGAATCACCAGAGGTCAGGAGTTTGAGACCAGCCTGACCAATATGATGAAACCCCATCTCTACTAAAAATACAAAAATTAGCCCGGTATGGTGGTGTGTGCCTGTAGTCCCAGCTACTCGGGAGGCTGAGGCAGGAGAATTGCTTGAACCCAGGAGGTAGATGTTGCAGTGAGCCAAGATTATGTGATAATCTTGGCTCACAAGATTGGAGACAGAGGGAGACTCTGTCTCAAAAAAAAAAAAAAGTTTTTATGTGCTGACTTTGTATGCAGGTATCTATAACAATATGTAGTATTGGTCTTTTCTTTTGAAAGTCAATTACTGTACTTTTAAATAAGTAAAACATAAACAATCCAAAGATGAAAAGGGCATACAATGAAAAATAGGCCTCTGCCTACCTCTGCTTCCTCCCCTTTCATGTAGCCCTTACCTGTTCTTTGTGATTCCTTCTAGAAATAAAATATGCATATAACAATATATAACTATCTATCCTTCAAAAAAAAAGTATGTAAATGTAAATGATAGAATGGTACACACATTGTTCTATACTTTTTAAAATTAATATATCTGGTGCTGATTTTATATTATTTCCTACAGAGCTACCTCCTTTAAAACAGCGGGGTAATATATTAATATGAGAAATATTATAACTGTACATACAAAATCAATTTTGAGATGCATACTGTCAAAAATGTGAAACTTTTATGAATCCTAAAATTGAGGAAATGTATTGCCATCAGTGTGCCTACAAGAACCATCCCCACAGCTTTTCTCAGGGGGATGGGGTTGCTACACATGTGCAGCCTCTGACTTATTTGTTCCTTTGCTATCTGAACCTTATCAAAGAGATCTTTTATTTTCATAAACAGAAGATACTTCTACCTTGACGGAAACCTGCAGCATATATAAATAACAAAATATCATAGGAAGCAATTCTATTGTATATCAGTATTGTGGATACATAGGATTTATACACATGAATAATGTCAGTTTTGGCTGCACCTTGTTAATGGCAATGAGTTTGCATGGTTTTCAGTTATCTACTAGCAAAAACCCCCTCCTTGCCCCTTCCTCGTGATAAAGCTGACCTGGGTCAAATATGCATGAAATAGAACAAAACTCAGCAATTGTTCACACCCAAAACTAGAGTCTGGAACCTTCTTGTTATCATCATTTAGTATTAATTATTATAAAATTATTCACTAATGTCTTCTGGAAAATAAAACCTGGCATTTCAATGCTGTTGAAAAAAATCTTTCAAACATTAGTTTAAGCCTCCTAAAAAATGCATATACGCATTTTATACATAAATTGAGTGGGTATGGTTTCTATTTTCCAAAGTTGTTTGTTTTAACCAAATACTACCTACCCAGTAACATAGGATCTTTTAGTAAGGACTTGTGCTGCATTTTCATCTCTGTGCTTTCCAAAGTATTAAACAGGAGGTTAGAATGGTAGCTTATTTCTGGAATCTGACTTAGGGAGACGCTCTACTTGTGAAAATAACATACTCTATTCCTTTAATGTTGTTGGAGACTCTGAATACTGACTATGTAAATGTATTTGACAGTACTGTTTTCTCTACTCAGGCTCTCTCTACACAAAGCCCTTTCTTTTCCCCTAGACATTCAAGAATAGAATTACTCTGAATATATTTAAGAATTACTTCCCTTTATATAGCAGTGCTTCCTGGTTTGAATGAAGACACTCTCTATTTAAAGGAATACTTTTATTTTTATTTGTTGAAATAGACTTAGAAGTCAAAAAATAAGGACTGTGAAAGGGATGCTGCAACACCAGGAAGAAGTTCCTCAGGGGCATGTGCCCAAAAAATGTCTTCCTTTTTGGGCATGTAGCTGGACCTAAACTTGGAGAGCCACCAACATTAGGGAATTATTGCTGCTCTACTACACCAGCTAGCTAGATGCAAGTCTGTGTGCTACCAAGTGTTTGGGCCTTCTTTTTTTTTTTTTTTTTTTTTTTTTTGAGACGGAGTCTCGCTCTGTCGCCCAGGCTGGAGTGCAGTGGCGGGATCTCGGCTCACTGCAAGCTCCGCCTCCCGGGTTCACGCCATTCTCCTGCCTCAGCCTCCCAAGTAGCTGGGACTACAGGCGCCCGCCACTACGCCCGGCTAATTTTTTGTATTTTTAGTAGAGACGGGGTTTCACCGTTTTAGCCGGGATGGTCTCTATCTCCTGACCTCGTGATCCGCCCGCCTCGGCCTCCCAAAGTGCTGGGATTACAGGCGTGAGCCACCGCGCCCGGCCGGGCCTTCTTGACAGATTCTCCTCTTTTGGCTTCCATGACACCGTCCTGGTCTAATTTTTCCTACGTCACAGGCAGGGAACATTTAAGTTCCCTTTATTATTTTCCTGATCTCTAATTTGGAGGTTAGTCAAGGCTTGAACTTGGGATCTTCTTTCCACTCCCCTTAGATACCCTATCCCCTCCAAAAACTAAATATCATCTGTAACAGCTGCTGTTGCTACTGATGGGAATAATAACAGTCAAAATTTATAAAAAGCAAAATTATGTTTTTTTGTTTTGTTTTGTTTTTTAGTATTTATTGATCATTCTTGGGTGTTTCTCGGAGAGGGGGATTTGGCAGGGTCATAGGACAATAGTGGAGGGAAGGTCAGCAGATAAACATGTGAACAAAGGTCTCTGGTTTTCCTAGGCAGAGGGCCCTGCCGCCTTCCGCAGTCTTTGTGTCCCTGGGTACTTGAGATTAGGGAGTGGTGATGACTCTTAATGAGTATGCTGCCTTCAAGCATCTGTTTAACAAAGCACATCTTGCACCGCCCTTAATCCATTTAACACTTAGTGGACACAGCACATGTTTCAGAGAGCACGGGGTTGGGGATAAGGTTATAGATTAACAGCATCCCAAGGCAGAAGAATTTTTCTTAGTACAGAGCAAAATGGAGTCTCCTATGTCTACTTCTTTCTACACAGACACAGTAACAATCTGATCTCTCTTTCTTTTCCCCACATTTCCCCCTTTTCTGTTCGACAAAATCGCCATCGTCATTTAGGCCCGTTCTCAATGAGCTATTGGGTACACCTCCCAGAAGGGGTGGCGGCCGGGCAGAGGGGCTCCTCACTTCCTAGACAGGGTGGCCGGGCAGAGGCGCCCCCCCACCTCCCGGACGGGGCAGCTGGCCGGGCGGGGGCTGCCCCCCACCTCCCGGACGGGGCGGCTGCCGGGCGGAGGGTCTCCTTACTTCCCAGACGGGGCGGCCGGTCAGAGACGCTCCTCACCTCCCAGACGGGGTGGCGGCGGGGCAGAGACACTCCTCAGTTCCCAGACGGGGTCGCGGCCGGGCAGAGGCGCTCTTCACATCTCAGACGGGGCGGCGGGGCAGAGGCGCTCCCCACATCCCAGATGATGGGCGGCCAGGCAGAGACGCTCCTCACTTCCTAGACGGGATGAGGCCGGGAAGAGGCGCTTCTCACTTCCCAGACAATGGGCGGCCAGGCAGAGACGCTCCTCACTTCCTAGACGGGGTGGCGGTCGGGCAGAGGCTGCAAACTCAGCACTTTGGGAGGCCAGGGCAGGCGCCTGGGAGGTGGAGGTTGTAGCGAGCCAAGATCACGCCACTGCACTCCAGCCTGGGCAACATTGAGCGCTGAGTGAGCGAGACTCCGTCTGCAATCCCGGCACTTTGGGAGGCCGAGGCTGGCAGGTCACTCGCGGTCAGGAGCTGGAGACCAGCCCGGCCAGCACGGCGAAACCCCGTATCCACCAAAAAATACGAAAACCAGTCAGGCGTGGCGGCGCGTGCCTGCAATCCCAGGCACTCGGCAGGCTGAGGCAGGAGAATCAGGCAGGGAGGTTGCAGTGAGTCGAGATGGCGGCAGTACAGTCCAGTCTCGGCTCGGCATCAGAGGGAGACCGTGGAGGGAGAGAGAGGAGGGAGGAGGGAGTAGGGAGTAGGGAGAGCTATAAATTTTAAAAATATTTATTTACTTAATTATCACATTAACCTACTTATCCCCATTTTAGATATAAGTAAACTGAGGCACAGAGTTAGATAACTTGTTAAGGTCAACAGCTGCTAAATAGCAAAGCTAGGATGCAAAACCACAGAGACTCTGGTGTCTAAAGTGCTCTAAAGCACTGCGCTGTTACTCATTCATTCATTCGTTTTTACATTTTCAGTCCCATACTCACATATCCAAACACCTCTCTGAAATCTCTCCTTGGGTGCTTCATAGAAACCTCAAACTTAACGTGTCCAAAAATGAACTTCTGATCTCTGCACCCCAAACCTGTTTATTTTTCCACATATCAATAAGTGGCACTATCGTTTATCTAATTGTGTGAGACAAAAATAAAAAACTAAACAATTATAGTTAATAATAGAAAATGAGGGACATGCTGCTATTTTAGATATTTATAATCTCTAATCAAGGAAATAACAGTTTTAAAGTATCTTTTCTAAGCAAATGTATTACTTGAATACTGTTATTCTATGTATAAAGTCATCTTTAATTATCTTCCTCTACTATAAATGATTTATTTCAGTGTTAGTAAAATTTTATGTTTTGTTTGCTTATCTAGTATTGCCATCATTACTGCAATTTTAAAATCTTTCCTTAGAGATAAGCTGCTTTGACATCTACCAAAGTATTTATTTAGTACAGTGTTTTTTAAAATTGGTTCCATTGTTTGACAGGTTCCAACATTTCTAAGCATGCTATTGTGTTAGCAACGGCCTATAAAAATAAACCTAACCCAAGCGGTTTGGACGAGAGGATGTTCCTTAGGAATATTTGCTTTGGAGATGTTTGCTATTTCCAGGGATATATCTATGTTGTCACTGTTTAAATTTCGTATTCCTTACCATACGTTTTAAATTTTTATGTCTTTTAAGTGAAACCCATCCCCACAGCCAGTATAATTAATTCTGAGGTATATATGTAGCAAAAGTAATTGGTTATGCTGTAAACCCTTTTGTTTAGTAAACTGTGTTTTAATTTTTGATGCTGTATTTTAGGAACTGAGGTAGTATGGTGTAGAAGTCCAGTGCAAAAGGATTGAAGATTATAACTAATTTAATTTTGCATTTTTTTCTCTAAAATAGGAAATGTTTATCTTTTGGACAAGTGCATAGTCTAATTATACATGCAATTAAGTAATTTCACCTATAAACCAGATGGTAGAAGCTTTTACTCCATCTGTGACTAGATTCAGGAATATCTGTGTATATTTTTCAGTTATAAATGGATATAGTAGTCAAAGTAATTTCCTTGCTTATTGAATTAGCAAGGATAAACTTTCATCCAAGACTCAACATTTCAGTTGCGTTTTAATCCCCTCCTTACTCTGTGCTAGGAACTCTGCTGAACTTTAGGAATTTGGAAAACAAGAAAAACAAGATCAGTTACTCTTGCCTAGGACTTAATAAAAATTTTTCACGAATGCAGCTAACTTTCGTACAATGTGAAAAAGGCTCTGATGGGGATAGCTTCATTGTTATATGGAGCTTATTTTCTGGGAAAATTTTACCTGAATTATGACTTAACAAATAAATAAGGACTTTGTCCTGTTAATAAATGCTGTTGAGGCAGGGCGCGGTGGCTCATGCCTGTAATCCCAGCACTTTGGGAGGCCAAGGTGGGTGGATCACGAGGTCAGGAGATCAAGACCATCCTGGCTAACATGGTGAAACCCCATCTCTACTAAAAATACAAAAAATTAGCCTGGCATGGTGGCACGTGCCTGTAGTCCCAGCTACTCGGGAGGCTGAGGCAGGAGAATCACTTAAACCCGGGAGGCAGAGGTTGCAGTGAGCTAAGGTTGCGCCACTGCGCTCTAGCTTAAGTGACAGAGTAAGACTCCATCTCAAAAAAATAAAAATAAATAAATAAATAATACATGCTGTTTAAATCTTTCTTGTTAATGATTGTTTATATTTTGATAGATTCAGCAGATCTAAAGAGGGTACCATTGTGGGGGAAAAAGGAATGGATGTCAAGGAACCGATTAATGGAGTTAACAAGAAAGGAAAATTCTGTTAGAGAATAAGCCCAGCACCAATACGTTACGTCAGTGATGGTCTTTACATGTCACCTGCAAAAGGAATTGCTGGTCATGCATTTGACTTTTCAGCTAATCTTGCTTGCATGCGTTGACATAGTTTTGGCAGAACTTATAGTGCCTCACTGTAGTAGTTTATTCACTATGACCATGTCATCCCTTCTTTTAGGAAGATAGCAGCTTATGTAATAGGTGTAATCCCACTTTTATAGATGATGAAGCTCCACAGGTTCTGGGGCTATTAAAGTTACCAGCTGGTAAGTGATATGCTGGAACTCAAGATTCCAAATTTCAATAAAACAGTATTTATTTTTCTTGCTGGCTAAAGTTTTAGCAATGAGCCTCTTGCTCTTCCTGGAAGCTTATGAGTTATCTTGAAATAATCATTTTAGAGTTCTTAAAGTCTTTTTGACCTTAAGCCTCTGCTTAGTACTCCTTGTAGGCAAAGACTATCCAGAGTTCAGCAGTGGGCTGGGCATAGAGGTCTTAGTTGAATAAATGCACTCTTCTCAGGGTTGTAGAGACATTTAAAAGACAAAAATAAACCATATCACAGAATGGTGGTTGATTTGTTGGTATTTTAGGCCTCTAATTTTTTTTAGCACAGTGAATCTTAGTTGTTCCTTGGCAGCAGTTGGGTCTACTGATAAACATGTTGCTAATGAAATAAACATTTTTTAAAATCCTACTTTGGATATTTCATGTCTTTTAAATGACTACCAACTTCATTTATAACCCTGTTCACCTCTCTAACAAACTCTGTAGGTAAAGAAAAAATCATTTGAAAGACAATGTAGTTTTCACAAGTTTCTCAACACTGTGGGAGAATTAACTCAGTTTCTTCTATCACATATTAATGAGAGAGGTTCTCTTTCACTATAAAGGACAGAATAGTAAAACAATTGGATGAATTTTGGACCAAGATATTTTAGGAACCAATAAAAACTGGCTACTTTTTCCAAAGCACAGTAGCCAAATGGTGGAACACTGGATTAGGAGCCGGGAAATAATTTCAGGTCTCCACTGTGCCTTATATTGTGACCTTAGGCCTCCATTTCTAAGAGGGAGAAGCCTGGTTCTGTTATCTCATAAATCCAGAAAGCTGATAGTGTCTGTCTTACTTTTCCAGTTTTATTGGACATTCACCATAGATGCCATTTATGAAGCCCTATATGTTATTAGAAATTAATGTGAACAAATTTCGCAACCCAACCCAAAGTGATTTCATATGTATAGCACTTTCAGTTTAAGTCTGGAGTGTATTATATTATTCATTTAAAAAGAAACACATGGCCAGGCATGATGGCTGACACTTGTAATCCCACCTCCTTGGGAGGCTGAGGTCAGAGAATCACTTGAGGCCAGGAGATTGAGACCAGCCTGGGCAACATAGTGAGACCCCATGTCTACCAAAATAAATATTTTTTTAAGTAGCCAAGTACAGTGATGCATGCCTGTAGTTCCAGCTACTCAGGAAGCTGAGGCAGGAGAATCACTTGAGCTCAGGAGTGTGAGACTGCAGTGAGCTATCATAGTGTCACTCTATCCTGGTGTCAGAGTGAGACCTCGACTTTAATTTTGTTTATTTCATTATTTATTTATTGAGACAAGATTTCACTCTTTGACCCAGGCTGGAGTACGGTGTACAATCTCTGTTCACGGCAACCTTCACCTCCCAGGCTCAAGCGATTCTCACACCTCAGCCACCCAAATAGGGACCACGGCCACGTGCACCACACCTGGCTAATTTTTGTATTTTTTGTAAAGACAGGGTCTCACTATATTGCCTAGGCTGGTCTCAAACTCCTAGCTCAAGCAGTCCACCTGCCTCGGCCTCCCAAAGTGCCGGGATTATAGACTTGAGCCACCACATCCAGCCTCAACTTTAAAAATAAAAAGAACACATGAAGATTGGGAGACTATGCATTTTCATGTATAGCCTAAATTTAGCTAGTTTAGTGATAAGTATGCTCTGAAATTAAACTGATTACTGTATGATATCATGGCCTGTAAAGAACTTAAAGAATACTTAAATTATCTATTTTTAAATGAAAACTTCAAAAGCCAGAATTTATTTTTTAAGTTGTGTATCATCATCTTGTCTGCTTTAATTATTTTTAAAGTGTCAACATAAAAACTTGGACATACAAAATGCATGTATTTAGAAATAAAATGATGAATGTAACATTTAAAATACCTTTGTTTTATCAAGTTACTTTCGAAACTGAATCTCATCTCTTAAGATTTTTGGTCACTGTTTATATAGTGCTATGAAAAAGTACTATGAAAAAGTTTGGCAGCTGAAGAACAGAATATTATCCCTTTTTAGAACAGTGTTCTAGCCTTATAGCACATGTGTAGGGAGAGTCACATTTGTCAGGGCAAAGATCATTTGAATTCTTTTTAAGTTACATTTTAGAAGCTAAATGCACCAAGCTTATTTTCTTAATCACAGAATTATTCCTGTAAGTCTTTATTCTTTTATTAAATGGGGAACAACTTCAGGAGAAACAATACAAAGAAAACATTCTGCCATGATTTAATTTTCAGTGAATTTTCAGAAAGTGTGGGTTTGATGACCTTCCTTGCCCTAGTCACTAGATTGCCTCAATCACTAGATTGAGGACCCAAATCAGCCTTTCTTGATGTCGAACAGTGGGGAGGATTGAGAAGCCACCACAGACGAGGAACTGTGTTAGAGCCTTTTTGCTGCTATTTCTCTAAATTCTAAGGCCCATATTTTCTCATATTTTAACATTTTAAAAATAGGAATATGCCTTATTGAAAAGGCTTCTTAGCAATGTGTCATGTTCACCTGGAAGGTTTGGTGTCTCTTAGAATTGAAGGGATTTTAGAATCAATGAAATATACTATCTATACCTTGCTTCATGCTTCTAACTTCTGTCAAATTTTGTGGATATTTAGATAATTCAAGAGTACCAGGGTCTACAGTGTGTGCAGCTGTGCGTCTTTGCTAATCAAGTACAAGAAAGTCAAATATTTTAATGTTTATATTGGAAAGCTTCATAGAAATCAAGTTCCCATTGAATAAAAGGCCAAAAAATAAACAAAATTATACTTTTAAGAAACAAGAAGAAAGAGAAAAATGTAGGAAAAGAAAACCCTGTCTAAACTTTTAATTTGGCATTGTTTCTTGAAATGTTTGAAAGTGACCCCCAAGTTTGAAGCACAGATTATTTCTGAAGTGATTTTTTTTGTCAGGAATATAGCATTGTCATGAATGTGGTGACTAAGGCAGGAATTTAGGAGTTAGATGGAGTTAGGTGCATAAATTGACTCTATTTTAGCAGGAAGACCTTGAAACATTTACTTTTTTGAGCCTTATTTCTTTCATAAGTAAAATTACAATAACATCCCTTAACCTGTAGTTGTTTAAAAATAAATCAGTCTTATCTTCATCCATATTATGATTATTTGCTATACAATATCAAATTTTGCCATGGAAAATTTTATTTTAATCTTATCTTGATTTTGGGTGTCTGCTATATACAAGAAAGAGAAGTATGAGAACTTCAGGCAATTTATATTTACTTAGAAACTGTATACATTTAAGAGGGATGTCATCAAACCCCTTCAGTGGTTCTAGCTATTATATAAGAAGGAGGAAACTGAATTAGACTCCACAATTTATATTCATATGTAGATGGGAAAGAGACTTAATTACTCTGATTTTAAAGGAATGTTGCATGGTATCTGTCATTTGATATTAGATCACTATTTTCTCTGTTTCTTATTATTCAAATTATAAGCATCACCATAACATAAACATTTGTATAGACTTTATTTTTTCATAAGGTGTTTCATGAGCATTTGCTGGAATAATTTTTCTTCAACTCCTTCACACTATTCTGTCCTTTTAGTCACTTCCTGAGGGGAGCTTTTGGGATACTTCCCAAGCCCCATTCTCCCCTGTAGCTCAACTCATACCATGAATCCCAGTTTGCAATTTTGATATGTAGATTTGACTAACATCTTTTTCCTGCTGGGTTCACAAGGGTAGGGACCACATCTGATTTTTCTCACTATTGCATTTCTAGGACCTAAAACAGTACATGGAACATTTTTAGCTAAATAATATTTAACTATGATATTTTAATCATATAATATCATTTATATATAGAAGTATAGTAGAATTTTGATGCCAAGTAATTTGTTGACATTTTTACCATAGAGGTCTGCCTGTGCTCAAACATTTATTGAGCTTGTTGTATTCAAATGCCATATTTGATACTAAAACTGTTACAAAGTAGATAAGAAAGTAATTGACAATTTAAATGCCAAACTAAGGCGAGGATCTTGTATTTAGGAGTCATCTCTTTATCCTAGTGTCTGCTTGAGTTCAGTTTCCATGGTCTATATCAATGAAAATATTTTATTTCCCACACATGTTCTTATTTAAAAAAGCCATTTGGGGATGCACTACAAATTATGATTGCTTTAGTATTGCCAACAGATAAAAACAGCTGCACTGACTAGAATAACAATTTCATAAGGAATTTCCAGAACAGTAAAATTCTACATAAAGTTTAGCTTAGGTTTCACTATTATTCTCCCCCCACTCCAGTGTTTCTCTCAATATCATCTCACAGAGGAAGGTATGTAGTATTTGTGAGTGTGTGTTTGTGTGTATTTGGTGGCGGGGGGGGGGGCAGGGAAGGATGTTATGAGCAGTACCTGTAACAAAAAAGAGGATTTAAAAATCTTTAAAATATTATTTGTTGTTTGGGAAAATAAAACCACCATTTACTTTCTTGAAAAATATTTCTGTAAAATGCAGGTAAAATAGAAGAGCCATAATTATTAAATCTAGTGTTTGTAGGTATCCTGGAGTTCATCTACCACAAAGATCACTTTCCTTTATCCTAAACTGTAAATTAAAGTACATTGTTGTCTTAACATGGAATGAGATTTAAGTTTTTTGGGGTTTACTACATCCCATACTTCCTTGTCCTCTATAGTTTGAAAAGTTTTGAAAAATTCTTTAAATAGTTCAAACATAATTTTGTCTATATTTCTTCTTTCTTACAGAAAAGCATAGAAAATGTTTCATATTTATCAACTTTTATTTTGATAACAAGTCATCTTTCCTCTTATTTCAGTTTATTGATATAGAATAAATATATAAATGTATTTATTTCTCTAAATGCTTTTGAATTGATCATCTGTTTTTTAAATTAAATTTTTTTCTCAACTTTTTAAATTCCTGTTTTCAAAAATGCTCTCCTTCAAATGATTTTTGGCTGTGTGCCCAAATCAAATTAACTCACCAAAGATGATTTGCTGTATTACTGGAAGTAGCCCAGTCGGAGCACAGGGGATGGTTAGTCACCAGTGTTTTCTTCTGTTTAAATAGAGACAAGGTTTCGCCATGTTGGCCAGGCTGGTCTTGATCTCCTGAGCTCAAGTGATCTGCCCGCCTCAGCCTCCCAAATTGCTCGTATTACAGGCATGAACCACTATGCCTGGCCAGTCTTCAGTGTTTACGTCAATAGCAGATTGAACTGTGTGACCTTTAGAGCCCTATATTTTTTTCCACTCTGAAAGGAATTTGTAGAAAAAGTTTTAGACATATTTGGACAAATGCATAGCTTCCATAGGTGTCTACTCTAAAGGGAATTGATCATTTGGTTTGAGTTCTCTTAAGCTTCTTTACAGAAACAGTTTTATACTTGTATTTATACTTGTATAATCACTCCTGGGATTTTAGTGATGTTTTCAGTCATCTCATATACCATAATCTGGACAATAATCCATTGTTATTTGATATGATAATTTATAAACTATGACCATTTTATGAAAAACTTTATGTCACCTTATTTCAAAAAGAATTTAAGAATAACCAATTCAATTCAATGAATACTCATTGTTCTCCCAGTATGTGCTGGATACTGTTCTTGGCACTTGAGATATGTCAGTGAACAGAGCAGACAAAGATCTCTGCCCTCATGGAGCTTACATTCTAATGGAGACTAGACAGTGAACCTGGTAAGAAGGTTATCTAGGTCTATGGAGGAAGGAAAAAGTAGAGCAGACTTGGGGGATAACGTCTGCCTGGGAGGAGGTGGAGTATGGGTTTTGTAGGTTAAATAGGGTATTCAGGGCAGGCCTGATTGAGAAAGTGTCATTTAAATTCAGACCCTCAGGGGTCTGTTCCAAGATGGTCGAATAGGAACAGCTCCCGTCTGCAGCTCTGAGCGTGATTGACGCAGAAGACGGGTGATTTCTGCATTTCCAACTGAGGTACCTGGTTCATCTCATTAGGACTGGTTGGACAGTGGGTGCAGCCCACAGAGGGTGAGCCAAAGCAGGGCGGGGCGTCGCCTCACCCGGGAAGCCCAAGGGGTCAGGGGATTTCCCTTTCCTAGCCAAGGGAAGCCGTGACAGACTGTACCTGGAGAAAACGGAACATCCCCACCAAAATACTGCGCTTTTCCAATGGTCTTAGCAAATGGTACACCAGGAGATTATATCCCATGCCTGACTCGGTGGGTCCCACACCCAAGGAGTCTTGCTCACGGCTAGTGCAGCAGTCTGAGATCAACCTGTGAGGCAGCAGCCTGGCAGGGGGGAGGGTTGTACCCCATTGCTGAGGCTTGAGTAGGTAAACAAACCAGCCAGGGAAGCTCAAACTGGGCGGAGCCCACCACAGCTCAGCAAGGCCTGCTGCCTCTGTTGACTCCACCTCTGGGTCCAGGGCATAGCTGAACAAAAGGCAGCAGAAACTTCTGCAGACTTAAACATCCCTGTCTGACAGCTCTGAAGAGAGTAGTGGTTCTCCCTGCACGGTGTTTGAGCTCTGAGAACGGACAGACTGCCTCCTCATGTGGGTCCCTGACCCCCATGTAGCCTAACTGGGGAGACACCTACTGGGACTGACTGACACCTCATACAGGTGGGTGCCCCCTGGGACGAAGCTTCCAGAGGAAGGATCAGGCAGCAATATTTGCTGTTCTGCAATATTTGCTGTTCTGGAGCCTCTGCTGGTGATACCCAGGCAAACAGGGTCTGGAGTGGACCTCCAGCAAACTCCAACAGCCCTGCTGCTGAGGGACCTGTTAGAAGGAAGACTAACAAACAGAAAGGAATAGCATCAACATCAACAAAAAGGACATCCACACCAAAACCCCATTTGTAGGTCACCAACATCAAAGACCAAAGGTAGATAAAACCACAAAGATGGGGAGAAACCAGAGCAGAAAAGCTGAAAATTCTAAAAATCAGAGTGCCTCTTCTCCTTCAAAGGATTGCAGCTCCTTGCCAACAATGGAACAAAGCTAGATGGAGAATGACTTTGACGAATTGACAGAAGTAGGCTTTAGGAGGTCAGTAATAACAAACTTCTCCAAGCTAAAGGAAGACGATCAAACCCATCGCAAGGAAGCTAAAAACCTTGAAAAAACATTAGACGAATGGCTAACTAGAATAAACAGTGAAGAGAAGACCTTAAATGACCTGATGGAGCTGAAAACCATGGTGCGAAAACTACGTGACGCATGCACAAGCTTCAGTAGCCGATTCCTTCAAGTGGAAGAAAGGGTATCAGTGATCGAAGATCAAATTAATGAAATAAAGTGAGAAGTTTGGAGAAAAAAGAGTAAAAAGAAATGAACAAAGCCTCCAAGAAATATGGGACTATGTGAAAAGACCAAATCTGTGTTTGATTGGTGTACCTGAAAATGACATGGAGAATGGAACCAAGTTGGAAAACACTCTTCAGAACATTATCCAGGAGAACTTCCCCAACCTAGCAAGACAGGCTAACATTCAAATTCAGGAAATACAGAGACCACCACAAAGATACTCCTCGAGAAGAGTAACCCCAAGACACATAATTGCCAGAATCACCAAGGCTGAAATGAAGGAAAAAATGTTAAGGGCAGCCAGAGAGAAAGGTCGGGTTACCCACAAAGGGAAGCCCATCAGACTAACAGCGGACCTCTAGGCAAAAACTCTACAAGCCAGAAGAGAGTGGGGGCCAATATTCAACATTCTTAAAGAAAAGAATTTTCAACCCAGAATTTCATATCCAGCCAAACTAAGCTTCATAAGTGAAGGAGAAATAAAATACTTTACAGACAAGCAAATGCTGAGAAATTTTGTCACCACCAGGCCTGCCCTAAAAGAGCTCCTGAAGGAAGCACTAAACATGGAAAGGGACAACAGATACCAGCCACTGCAAAAACATGCCAAATTGTAAAGACCGTCAATGCTAGGAAGAAACTGCATCAACTAACGGGCAAAATAACCAGCTAACATCATAACGTCAGGATGAAATTCACACATAACAGTATTAACCTTAAATGTAAATGACACAATTAAAAGACACAGACTGGCAAATTAGATAAAGAGTCAAGACCCATCAGTGTGCTGTATTCAGGAGACCCATTTCACATGCAGAGACACACATAGGCTCAAAATAAAGGGATGGAGGAAGATCTACCAAGCAAATGGAAAGCAAAAAAAAAAAAAAAAAAAAAAAAAGCAGGGGTTGCAATCCTAGTCTCTGATAAAACAGACTTTAAAACAACAAAGATCAAAAGGGACAAGGCCATTGCATAATGGTAAAGGGATCAATTCAACAAGAAGACCTAACTATCCTAAATATATATGCATCCAATGCAGGAGCACCCAGATTGATAAAGCAAGTCCTTAGACACCTAAAAAGAGACTTAGACTCCCACACAATAATAATGGGAGACTTTTTAGACAGATCAATGAGACAGAAGGTTAACAAGGATATCCAGGACTTGAACTCAGCTCTGCACCAAGCAGACCTGATAGACATCTACAGAACCCTCCACCCCAAATCAACAGAATATACATTCATCTCAGTACCACATCACGCTTATTCCAAAATTGACCACATAGTTGGAAGTAAAGTACTCCTCAGCAAATGTAAAAGAACAGAAATCACAACAAACTGCCTCTCTGACCACAGTGCAATCAAATTAGAACTCAGGATTAAGAAACTCACTAAAAACCGCACAACTACATGGAAACCGAACATCCTGCTCCTGAGTGACTACTGGGTACATAACGAAATGAAGGCAGAAATAACAATGTTCTTTGAAACCAATGAGAACAAAGACACAATGTGCCAGAATCTCTGGGACACATATAAAGCAGTGTGTAGAGGGAAATTTATAGCACTAAATGCCCACAAGAGAAAGCAGGAAAGATCCAAAATCGACACCCTAACATCACAATTAAAAGAACTAGAGAAGCAAGAGCAAACATTCAAAAGCTAGCAGAAGGCAAGGAATAACTAACATCAGAGCAGAACTGAAGGAGATAGAGAAACGAAACACCCTTCAAAAAATCAATGAATCCAGGAGCTGGTTTTTTGAAAAGATCAACAAAATTGATAGACCGCTAGCAAGACTAATAAAGAAGAAAAGAGAGAAGAATCAAATAGATGCAATAAAAAATGATAAAAGGGATGTCACCACCGATCCCACAGAAATACAAACTACCATCAGGAATACTATAAACACCTCTAAGCAAATAAACTAGAAAATCTAGAAGAAATGGGTAAATTCCTCAACACATACACCCTCCCAAGACTAAACCAGGAAGAAGTTGAATCTCTGAATAGACCAATAAAAGGCTCTGAAATTGAGGCAATAATCAATAGCCTACCAACCAAAAAAATTCCAGGACCAGATGGATTCACAGCTGAATTCTACCAGAGGTACAAAGAGAAGCTGGTACCATTCCTTCTGAAACTATTCTAATCAATAGAAAAAGAGGGAATCCTCCCTAACTCATTTTATGAGGCCAGCATGATCCTGATATCAAAGCCTGACAGAGACACAACAAAAAAAGAGAATTTTAGACCAATATCCCTGATGAACATCGATGCAAAAATCCTCAGTAAAATACTGGCAAACCGAATCCAACAGCACATCAAAAAGCTTATCCACCACATTCAAGTCAGCTTCATCCCTGGGATGCAAGGCTTGTTCAACATATGCAAATCAGTAAATGTAATCCATCACATAAACAGAACCAATGACAAAAACCACATGATTATCTCAATAGACGCAGAAAAGGCCTTTGACAAAATTCAACAACCCTTCATGCTAAAAACTCTTAATAAACTAGGTATTGATGGAACATATCTCAAAATAATAAGAGCTATTCATGACAAACCCACAGCCAATATCATACTGAATGGGCAAAAACTGGAAGCATTCCCTTTGAAAGCTGGCACAAGACAGAGATGCCCTCTCTCACCACTCCTACTCAACATAGTGCTGGAAGTTCTGGCCAGGGCAATCAGGCAAGGGAAAGAAATAAAGCGTATTTAATTAGGAAAAGAGGAAGTCAAATTGTCCCTGTTTGCAGATGACATGATTGTATATTTAGAAAACTCTATCATTTCAGCCCCAAATCTCCTTAAGCTGATAGGCAATTTCAGCAAAGTCTCAGGATACAAAATCAATGTGCAAAAATCACAAGCATTCCTATATACCAATAACAGACAAACAGAGAGTCAAATCATGAGTGAACTCCCATTCACAGTTGCTACAAAGAGAATAAAATACCTAGGAATCCAACTTACAAGGGATGTGAAGGACCTCTTCAAGGAGAACTACAAACCACTGCTCAACAAAATAAAAGAGGACACAAACAAATGGAAGAACATTCCATGCTCATGGGTAGGAAGAATCAATATCGTGAAAATGGCCATACTGCCCAAGGTAATTTATAGATTCAGTGCCATCCTCGTCAAGCTACCAATGACTTTCTTAATGGAATTGGAAAAAACTAAAGTTCATATGGAACCAAAAAAGAGCCTGCATTGCCAAAGCAATCCTAAGCAAAAAGAACAAAGCTGGAGGCATCACACTACCTGACTTCAAACTATACTACAAGGCTGCAGTAACCAAATCAGCGTGGTACTGGTACCAAAACAGAGATATAGACCAGTGGAACAGAACAGAGGCCTCAGAAATAACACCACACATCTAGAACCATCTGATCTTTGACAAACCTAACAAAAACAAGAAATGGGGAAAGGTTTCCCTGTTTAATAAATGGTGCTGAGAAAACTGGCTAGCCATATGTAGAAAGCTGAAACTGAATCCCTTCCTTACACCTTATACAAAAATTAATACAAGATGGATTAAAGACTTAAATGTTAGACCTAAAACCATAAAAACCCTAGAAGAAAACCTAGGCAATACCATTCAGGACATAGGCATGGGCAAGGACTTCATGTCTAAAACACCAAAAGCAATGGTGACAAAAGCCAGAACAGACAAATGTGATCTAGTTAAACTAAAGAGCTTCTGCACAGCAAAAGAAACTACCATCAGAGTGAACAGGCAACCTACAGAATGGGAGAAAATTTTTGCAATCTACCCATCTGACAAAGGGCTAATATCCAGAATCTACAAAGAACTTAAACAAATTTACAAGAAAAAAACAACCCCATCAAAAAGTGGCAAAGGATATGAACAGACTCTTCTCAAAAGAGGACATTTATGGAGCCAACAGACACATGAAAAAATGCTCATCATCACTGGTCATCAAAGAAATGCAAGTCAAAACCACAATGAGATACCATCTCACGCCAGTTAGAATGGCGATCATTAAAAAGTCAGGAAACAACAGATGCTGGAGAGGTTGTGGGGAAATAGGAATGCTTTTACACTGTTGGTGGGAGTGTAAACTAGTTCAACCATTGTGGAAGACAGTGTGATGATTCCTCAAGGATCTAGAACTAGAAATACCATTTGACCCAGCAATCCCATTACTGGGTATATACCCAAAGGATTATAAATCATGCTGCTATAAAGACACATGCACATGTATGTTTATTGTGGCACTGTTCACAACAGCAAAGACTTGGAACCAACCCAAATGTCCATCCATGATAGACTGGATTAAGAAAGTGTGGCTACACCATGGAATACTATGCAGCCATAAAAAAGGATGAGTTTATGTCCTTTTTAGGGTCATGGATGAAGCTGGAAACCATCATTCTGAGCAAACTGTCACAAGGACAGAAAACCAAACACCACATGTTCTCATTCATAGTTGGGAATTGAACAATGAGAACACTTGGACACAGGGTGGGAAACATCACACACCGGGGTCTGTTGTGAGGTGGAGGGCTGGGGGAGGGATAGCATTAGGAGAAATACCTAGTGTAAATGATGAGTTAATGGGTGCAGCAAACCAACATGGCACATGTATACCTATGTAACAAACCTGCACGTTGTGCACATGTACCCTCTAACTTAAAGTATAATAAAAATAAATAAATAAATAAATAAATAAATAAATAATTCAGACCTTCACATAGAGGGAAATCTCTTTTTATGGCCTTATAAAGAAGTAAGACTAATGCAGGGAATACTTTGACTAATTTATAATTCTGCCAGAGAGACAAAGATAGTTTGCCTCTGGGCTTATTATTTTTAACCCTTTTTATCTTTAGGGTATTTCACAACTTTCCTTTGAGGAGTGGAAAGCTGCCAATTGTTCTGTCATAGAAGAAAAACACTAGCTATAGAAGGGTTTTAAGTCTAAGATATATTAATCATTTGTAGAACATTGTGCATTATTGTAACAATGAAGTGTGTTTTCTGCTAGTGGCCTGTAACTAGACAACATATTATTTTCCCATAGAGATAAAAGATAAATTACAGTAGGTCAAAGATTGTAAGAAATGTGGCAAAATGTTGCTCAAGCATAAGATTCTGGAGAGATAATATCTTACTCAAAAGTTTTAAACATCTGTTCTAGCAAGAAAAATAATGCTGATCTTTGCAAATATGCCCTTAACTTGAAACATTGTGTCAGCATAACCCAATCCAAACAGACCATTTTTTGCTTAAGAATCATTACCTACCATTGATAGTTTAGTTATGAACTAGGACAGAAAAAACTATTAAGGTGCTCTCTTAACTGCATTGGTATTTATTTTCCCTTCTGAAACTAAAGATACCCTCTCACCAGGAGCTGCCCTTTCATAGACTTCAGTGTACAGTTTAATGTGACCTTCCCACCAACAAGCCCTCCTGGCATTAGAGGCCTGGGTAGAAAGGTCACAGCTGTGCTTGCTTTAAAGCATTTTTGGCCATTCCAAGAGACGAATCTCCTAGTATAGTTATCAGTGTATATTTTGGAATAAAAGCACATTAGGGTTCATCACACCCAGATCTTCTGTGATAGAACTGGCAGATATCCTCAATTCCAGAGGAGACTTCTCTGTCTCCCTCCCTTTCCACTCCCCTACCCCTTCCCCTCCTCTCCCCTCCCCTTCCCTTCCTTCAGTTTTCCCCTCCCTAACTCCTTCCCTATCTCTCTTCCTTGTCATCCACTCAAATATTTATTGAGAATTTACTCTGTAATGTAGGCCCTTGGGATCAGTGGTGAATGTGAAGCTAACATACTGCTGTTAAGGAGTGAAGTTTTTTAGTTAGAAATTCAATTTAAAAATTGTTCACAGTATTCAAACATATTTTGAGTTTATTTTAAACATAAACCCAAAATTTAATGAATTGAGTGAAATATGAGATGATGAAACAAACAAAAATTCTAAAAACTCTTCATGATATTGGTAAAACGTGATAGAATTTGCTAATTTATAAGCAAGTTTCAAAATTTATAACACATGTACTATTTTCCCAAGGATATCATTTTAGTGAATGGTGAAATATCTTACTAACTTCTATCAGAATTCCTACCATGTAGTAACAACAGATTTTAGGTAGGGGTGTGTATGCGTCTGTCTGTCTGTCTGAAACCTGCTGAGTCAGTATACTACTACCTTACCTGGCTTTGAAGGCTCTCCTCAAAATCACTCCAGCCTTTCTCTTTATCTCCCTTCATCCCAGCTGTTCAAGGCTACTTGCCTGCTGGCCACCAACAAACCGTGGGCTTTTCCTCCTGTGTTAAGCTGTTCTCACTGGTTGAAATTCTTTCTCTCTCTCAGTGGACAAATAGCTCCTCATAAGTGCCCATATCTTCCTTGAGCGAAGGCTTTACTGACCCCTCTGAAGATTTCTTCTTTTTTTTTTTTTTTTTTTTGACCTTTTGCTTTAACACCTATCACAAGTTATCCTGAGCGTATATTTGTGGGTACCTGAGCTGTTGTGTTTTTTCATTCAGAAACCATTGACCGACCCCTGTCTCAGGTATTGTGCTACAGGAGATACTACAGTAAACAGGCTGGACCTGTGAGTCATGGATTTGAGAATGTAGTCGTGGTTTTGAAAAGTAAAATAGTGTGATAAGTGCTTTCAGGCACAAGGTTATATGGGAACATATGGCAATTAAATATGTCTCCTGCAAGTGGCCTGGAATTAGACAACAAAATATATTTCTCCCTTGTGGATGAAATGATCTTGAGGGGCCAGATTTAGACATGGTCCAGGATTAGACAAAGCCTCTAAGAAGTCACAAGAGAGGGAATACCCCTTCCATTGTAACAGGAGAAGGAGAGAAAGGAAAGTGTTGGATAGATGCTGGTCAATTAGTGGGGGAAAGTCAAGAGAGTTCTTACCTGAGGTTTTGTTTTCTTTGTGAAGAAGAATGTAAATTTAACTGCCAAGGGAGGTGGAGAAGGAGCTTATGGGGAGGAGCTTAATAAAGATGCAAAGGTATATGGCAGCTCCTATAGAGAATGGAAGAGAGAAATGACCAGAGACAATTAGAATGCTTACCAGGGAGCATGGTTTAAGGGCTTGATTCAAGTCACAGACCAGCGAGAATGGTACCTTTCTCTGAAACTGTATGCTTTTCTACAGATCCAGTCTGCAAGCTGTTTCTTGCACATATAGTATAGAGGAGATAAATAGCTGGAATAAATCAGAATTCAAGCTACAGCTCTGCAGTTTGTTCATAAGTCACTTCCTATCACTGACCTTGCATTCCTCTGAACAATGTGGATGGGAATTCCCCACTCCCTGGGTTGTTAGCCCCTCAATATCAAATTGAGATTTTATAAATGAGAACATTTTAAACTACAAGTGACCATAAGATCATAAAGATAATAGTTATGCTCTTACATTTATTATGAAAAGTCTGAATCAGTAAAATTTTTCAGTATTTTTCAATGAAAAGAAACCCAAAAATAAAAAACTAACTTCCAAATTAAAGAGGTATCCAAATCTAATACAAGCTGTAGATATAATTAAGACAGAACAAATAGACTCTCTGATAGTATTGTTCAAAGAAAAAAAGGAAAACAATCTCCCAAGTGTCACTAACAAACTAAGAAAACTAAAATCTTCTGAAAATGCAAAAAAGCAAAGTTTTAGGTTAAGAAGAGCCAACTAAAAGCATTAAATTTTTTAATAAATATTATTTATAAAAATATAAATATAGTCTTAGAACTAACACAATGTATTAAGTGTCTTATCCTCAAGCTTGCTGTTTCTTTTTAGAAGACACATGATAGGATTTTATTTTTTAATTCAGAAAATATTCTTTCATTTCACATGTATTTAAAAAATTCTAAATAGAATAGTATTGCTCTCTAAAAAGCACTTGTACGGTAAATAGCCTATTGAACTGTACCTTTTTTGTCCATATAGGCCAGGTAAATGTCATATACAGTAAAGCTAAAAGTAGAAAGCACATATAAGCTGCTTCTCATTTCTCTTTCACATGGAAATGTCTTTAATAAATGCAGTTGATACAGACTCTTTTCCTTTTCGCCTCTGGGCATAATCCTTTGGGAATCTGACTGACTGCTCATCTTCCAGCATGCCTAATAGTCTGAATGTTTAACATTTTTAAAGGGTAGTTGTTCATCACAGGTTCTGGATTATCTTTTCACATACCATTTCCATGCTTCTACTTATATCCCCCAATTAATCCAAATTACCAACTGACCTCCTCTTGAGACAGTTCCAAAGAATAAGCAGCACTCCAATTCCAAGAAGTAGCCGCTTGCCAAAGTTACATTGACAATAGGAAATCACTGCTGCTAGAGAGATACATTTACAGTGATTTCCTGGGAAATACAAGTTGATGCTGAATATGATCCTTAATCAGGCTAGAAAACTGTATAACATTTTGGCAGGTCTTATCTTAAATCTTCTCATCTTATTTAGGTCCCATTGTAGGCAAAAATTTCTTTCCCATGACCAGTAACTGCTTAGCCAAGGTATTTCCTTCAGGCACTTTGTAAAGTAGAATATTGGTGCTGTGGGGACAACTGTAGAGTCCTAGGATGCTGATTACATTCCTGAATACTTCTAATGAAGGAAATAAAGAGAGAAAAAAAAGGGGGAGGAAGAAGTATACATTGAAAATGTAAAATAAGTTTTTTTTTAAAATTAGTGAATAAGTGTTAGAAAGAGAGGGGAAAGTAGGTGGTTGAAGAGTTTGTGTGTGTATATTAGAACTTACATGAACTCCGGTGCTGAAAGATAAGGAGAGTGGGTAGTGGACCAATGAGAGAAGAAAGGAGAGATGGGGCCAGTTTCACCCAGCAATGTTCTGAGTGTGGGTGGGTATGACATTACTTATTCAGAGTATTCTGAAATCTGGGCTTTGGCTACTCTGTCTCTGCCCTTTACCAGCACCATGCCTGTGATAGGATGTTCCAACAGGAAGCTAGGCGTTTGCTTTAGAAAATCATTTTTCTTCATCGCAGTGTACTGCCGTGTGCCAGGACACACCAGACATCACTGTTGCTTTGTTATTTTGCACCACGATGGCTAATGTGGAGAGTGGGCTTGGACGCTGGCAGCAGGGCATTCGTGTCATTGTTCTCTTTGCTTCACAGGCTGTCATTAGGTTGCCTGCTCCACTTTGTGGCTCCCTATCCCAACCGTACCTCTGTTTCCCTACATATACTCAAGGAAAGTCGGCAGAGGATTAGGAACTTTAAAAATAAGTTTTTCTTGGCAATTAGTAAATGTGGCACATTCTGTAGTTTCTATACAATGTATGCATAAAATAGTCTTGTATTCCATGTTTATTTGTATTTTGCTTGGCCCGGAATATTTTTAAACCATTATCAAAAGTTTCTTTGAGAAAAGCAAGTTCAGTTAAAAGTTATTAGAGTTACATGTAATGAATGTAGCATGATTATCTTGGTTGTTTTCTTGCCTGCTGGTAAGGTATATACAGCCTTAATTTTTAGTTGCATAGTGCCACCTATTGGATCTATGTGATAAAAACACTTTGGTATTTAGCTGCTTTCTTTAATTCCTCATTGCAATTCATTACTTTCCTAAAACAGAAATACTGTAGCCAGGCTTGGGTATTCAGATTTTTCTTAATAATATAGATGCCAAAACAAAAATACACACAGCCTACAAACTTGATACAGATTTTTCATGATGGGTCTTTCTACACTGTATTTTCTTTGAGCATCTGTGTTTGTTTTGGAAATACAATCTGTGAATAATTTAACATCGCCTTTCTAAATTGAAAAGAGCTTTAAAAAGAGCTCTTGTTTATGATGTTCTGCCAAGTATTGTTTCTCCTCATACCCTGTTTTTTTCATGGCATTTGTGTGTACTTTTTTATTTACTGTCTTTCTACCCCGCTACACTGTAGGTCCCTCAAAGGTACCTGTGGTACAAATGTTAAAGTTACCCAAGAGAATGGCAGCAATACTCGGAAAACTGATAATGTATTCAAATAAGAAGACTTTTAAAATTTTACTAGTGGTATTAAGAAGGCATTGGTGGATACATCTTGATGTCTGCTTCTTTTACATGGAAAAATAATCAAAAGTTGTTTTATTTTGTTTCTTAATTGTTGGATATCATTTTAGTACTAAGTCTCATTTCGTAGAATGATATTCTCACTTGTGGTCCAAAATCAACCAGTGTTTATATACATACACAAGAGATACATTTTATTCAATTAAAGCACTTTTATTAAAATTAGTATCAGCACAGTATTTGGCACACCCGTTAATCCAAAAATACAAGGAAAAGATTCACATTTTTCCTCAGCCTCCCTATCACTTTCATGTTGTGTAAACTCAGGCCACACAGGGCCAGAACCAAACAATAGCCAGGTGAGGTTTTTATAGCCAGTCTTTCTATCCTTTCACTTTTCCACTTAAGAACAGAAAAGAAAGGGCAGACAGGGATATACTAAGAGCTAAATATTAAAGTATATTTGTAAACAAAATTTTTAAAATCTGAAAATATTTCTGAGGTAAATATAATTCCCTTGGTAAGGAAAAAAGATAACTTAGGCAATTTTTTGAAAAGTAACTTGATTTTTTTTTAAAGCCATGCACACCAAGATCGAACTCAAAAGAAAAGTAAGGTTAGCTATTTATGAGCTCATGCACACTGTGGTGCAGATAAGCTGACATCTGGAGAGTGCAAAGGGAAATCTTTGATGCTTTTCAACATGGCCTGAGAGAGATGAAACAAGCCAGTGTAATTTAGAAGCCCTTGCCCTGTTGCCTGAAAATAAAATGTAAACAGTTAAAAAGCTTTTAACATTCTTTACTGTCACCTCAGTTTTCTGAAGACCTTACTTACCTATCCATCATCTGGTTTCTAAAAAAGTGAAAATTGAAAAAACTGTAAGTGTATTTAATAGCCTAGACACAGTCATGACTTGACTCCAGTTTCCTGTTAGACATTGATTTTCAGTCCTGCAAGTTTGAATCTGTCAGGACTGGAATGCATAGGTGTTCATTGCCGACAATTTCACAGTAATTTTAGGCTGGGTCTGGTTTTGAGCAAATCATATCAGTGATAATAAGGTCAAATTTGCTTCCATTACTTTTGGCTTGTCTAGCATATAATTGGATCTTATTTGGTTTCTAAAATCAGGGGATTTGTTACAGCCTTTGGACTTTTTGAAAATAAAAGGATGAGAAAAGTAAACTTGGCTGAGTGAATGGAAACTGCAGAATTTCTCCCAATTTTAACTTCTGAAAGCATCTCCTGATCTCAGAGGTTGGAGTTGTGGAACAGAGCAGTAACTGGAGTCATGATTGGTAATTGTACTTTTAATCCAGAGGAAGCTACCTGAACAGCACATATTTGTTGTCTTCCGCTTCTTACTCTTCTAGCTTTCCATTTATTGTTCTAAGAATCTCTTTTTTTTGTACCTGCATGCTTTTGCTTCTCTCTTGCCTCCTCAAGTAATTTCTTCCTATTACCAGCTGAAGAGAACAAACATTTGTCACTATATGCCTTTCTAACAAAAAGTTTGTCTGAAAGAGTGGTGTATACATCAGATATATGAATTTGTATGTGTGAGTATGTATTTAAATAAAGTTCCTGGAGTGTTTTAAAAATCCATTCTGCTTCTCAACTTTTAACCATTAGAGTGTATCAGAATCCCCTGAAAGTTTATTCTCTGTCTTCTAGATCATTTTTACAATAATGTTTTTACAATAACTGACCAGGTAGCCTTCAGGACCTGAAGCCCATCTCATACTTGCCCTCCTGTCAAAGATGACTTTGTCCTGAGCTGAGTGGTTTTGAGAGAGGAAAGGCTGTTCTGGATAAAAATTTTCCAACTACTTTTTGCCAGGCACAATGCTGTACACTGCACATGTATTACTCACCTAATCC